>NC_000001.11:209699738-209851253 GCF_000001405.40 Homo sapiens | reverse complement strand
ATGTCGGCAGTTCATAGAAAATCAGGTTCCTGATGCCTTTTATTGTATACCTGTCAGAATTGGAAAGAAAGAGCTATGTCAACTTGAGAAACAAGTTCTAGAAAAACTACCTAGGAGTTGTACAGAGGCATAGTTCATGCTTGTTGCTTCCTGCTAATGGAGAAAAACAGTGGCACAAGTAACAGAACAAAAGTTATTCTAACTTGAGGTGGCAACATATTTGAATTCTTTTTATGACAACATATTCGAATTCCTAATATTTGGCTTAAGAAAATGATAAAATAAATACACATTTCTTGATCCTACACTGGGTAGGCTGAGGTATCATGGGAAAGAATAGTAGACCAGGATTTAAAAATCTGTCACAGAAAACTTAAAAAGCAGGCACTTAAAATGGAACATTAGCCTTATTATAATCAGGCAAAAAAGAATGGAGACAAGGTCAGACCCAGTACATAAAATAAGTTGTACAGATTGTAAATACACTCCCATTAGTCTTTTCTTGCCACTCTGGATACATGTTAACTCCATGGCAGACGTCCCAAGTTCATCCATTTACAAAACCCTGCCCAAGGACCCACTAGGCATCATGAGAAAGCAATTAGTTTCAACAGCGTATGCATTTCCATCTCTTTCCCAGCTGCACAGTGCCGCCCTGTGGTGGGGGGTGGTGTACACCCAAGGGACTGACTTGCAGTATGGTTCAGTCAGGCTGACGTCAACCGTTCCCCTGTGGGATTCCATAACAAAAGATTTTATATGTTGACAAGCTTCTGATTTTTCCTGTTAAGTTTCTCTCATACACTGAAGACGTTAGACTCCCTTGGGGATTTTATTTCTTTCACAGAAGGTAAGTTTTCCTTGTCTTTTTCCCTCACAGCTCATCCTGATCTCTCTGGAGACCTTCCTTTCCCAAACCATGACTGTGATCTATTATGTGGTTCACCTTTCAACATCCTTTCCATAAAGAAGGAATTCTAACGGCTAATGAACTTGAATAAACTGTTCTACCTCACTAGTTCTCAAAACAAAAACAACACTGAGTTCTACTTCTGCTTAGAATGTATAAAACTCGAGAATATTGCTCCTATACCAATAAGAAAAAGTCAGATAATCTATTATACAAAAATGTTCCTTTTCTTGAGCCCAAAGAGCTACCATCATGAAGCAATCAGGTAACCTGAATTAGGTGGTGAGCTGGTGTATGTTTAATAATTGGTCCTCAGTGGGAGAAAGGGAGGGTGCTAATTTGAAGGATTTGTCAGTTTCAAGCTACCAATGTCATGCTGCTGACCCAGAGATGTGCAGCCAGGTCTCATGAGCCAGTGTGAGCCAGCTTCAGCTCACCATGGACTGAGTTCCAAAGAGTAGCCCTTCTGAGGAAAAACGGGACACAGGAACTACTGCACCTTAGGCAGAGCACAGGAGAAAGATGGCCTCTGCCAAAAAAGTGGGTAGTAAGAAAATAGATACACTTCTAACACATTCTTAAAGGGCAAGAATAGGCTTGCCTGACTTCAGGACCCCAGGGATCCCTGGATGCTCCTTTAGTTCACATCCACTCATGAGCTTGTTCCAGAGGCCTGCACTGGGAGCCCTGGAGAAAGCAGAAGACCCGAGGGAGACCCCACTGGTGGTAGGGACATGAAAGCCCACCTACTTCCCAGGCCCATTATCGTGAAACCCATGGTAAAAACGTGAAGCACACGGGGGAGAAGAAAGGAGCCACCCTGTCCCCCACCCCTAATCGCAGGCAGGCAAAGGCAAACCACTTGAGGGGGAGGGTGAGTAGAAGCAAAAGTTGTCTGCCCTTAAGGGAAGGGCAGTAAACCCCCACCCTTCCATTTGTCCCCCACACAAGACTTGTACCCAGTAAAAAGCATTCTGCCCCAGAGGAAGGGGTAAGAAACCTGTTCAGCCCAAGTTCCTGCACTGATACAAGCAGAGTTCGATTAGGGAAGAAGCTGTATACACTTCACCACAAAGATCCCTCACAGATAAAAGGTGGAGTCTGGCTGCCACGGAGGTAGCGGGGCAGGAACCCTGAGAAAACCTCACCCCCAAAGCTTGGAATAAAAAGGGCCTGCCAAAAATTGAGCTGGACCAGGAGAACCCCCTCCCCCCGACTTCATGCCTTGCAAGGAGAAACAAGAGGCCTCCTGTGAGGAGGGGTCTGAGTGTGGAGTGAGACCCTCCTCTGGCACACGTGTCAAGGCCTCAGTGACAGCTGAGCAATCAGGACACTGAGAAAAACCCTCCAGCACCCGAGACCCTACACCAAGCCCACTGTCTGCTGGAGGAATTTGAGGTCTGTGGTGTTGGGAAGGTATCTACAGTAACAATCAAATCCTGACTAGATTGATAGCACCCACACCAGTGGCCTACGGAAGGGGTGCGGCCGGACATAAGTATTATTTACTTCAGCCTCTACATTCCATTGAAAGTTATAGAAGACACAAAAAAGCAAGAAAAGACATCCAAACAATGAGGTATCATTTTGACTATCACATCAGTAGCAATAATTCAGTCTATGGAGCTTTGGAGAAATAGGTGAATGGAGCATAAATTACTTTGTCTATGAATTCAGGAGAAGATATGGAAAAGATGCAAAGGAGCAAATAAGTGGCAACGCATGACACATTTTTAACTGTGTACAGCCTCTGTGCTAACGAGTTTTCCTTTCAAAATCTATCCCAAGAAAATAACTAGGTAAGTATTTCATCAAAACATATGCATATGGATGTTTTGCGTATTATTATATACAACAGCAGAAAACAGAAAAAAAACCCCTATATGCCCACTAAAAGGAAGCTAGCTTAATTAACCAATGTAATACTATGTAGCCATTAAAAACAATGTGATGTTTACCTCACACGTTACTTATTAATTACATACACACACTAAGTGATTTTAGTGATTTGGCATCACCAAGAATGAGACAAAGTGACATTACGTGCCTTCTGATGAGATGAGGTAGAAAGTACGTAATATTCCCTAAGTAGAATTCTTATCAAAAGATATTTATTCTAAATCAGTCATCCCCAAACTGCTGCACATTGAAATCACCTAGCTGGTTGTTTTTTTATTTTTTTTATTAATACTTAGGTTTGGTCCCCATCCCAGACACTGCGATTTAATTGGTACTGGGATGTGACCTGGGCATTTGGATTTTTAAAAGCTTCTATTCTAACGTACGGCAAAGTTTGAGAACCACTGATCTAAATAACAAGGGAACAATTAGATAAATCCAGACTGTGAGACATACTGCAGGAAACCAGATTGGACTCTTCAAAAAGATGTCGATGTCATGAAAAAGTAAAAAAGCAAGAGAGTTATTCTGGATGAGGGTTTCTCAGTGTTAACACTGCTGACATTTTGAGACAGATAATTCTTTGTGGTTGGGGGCTGTCCTGTGAACGAAGGTGTTTCACAGCATCACTGGTCTCAACCCACTGGAACCACCAGAATAATCCTCCAGTTGTGATAACCAAAAATGTCTCCAGATATTGCCAAATGTCCCTGAGGGAGCAAAATTGTTCCCCAATTGAGAACTAAACTAGATTAAAGAAACAAAAGCAGTAAGTTAACCAAATGCTATATATGATCCTTACTGAATCCTTTTTGGCCGGAGGGGAAAGAGCTATAATGGTCATTTTGGTGACAACTAGCAAAATCTGAATATAGACTAGATATCAGATGATATTACTGTAGTAACATCAGGTAGCATGATAATGGTGCTATGGTTAGATAAAAGAATGTTTTTGTTTTTAGGAGCTACATGCTAAAATATTTAGGGGTGAAGTGTCAATGAAGACTCACGCTACTTTACTTTCAAATGGTTCAGGAAGAAAAAATAAGAGATGTGAGTGGGGATAGAGAGAAGATGGGTATGTGCAAATGTGATAAAATGAGAACAGCTGGTGGAATTTGGGGTAAAAGCATTTATAAATAAACAGATGTTTATTGTTAGTCTCTTAACAATTTTCTTTCACAATGAAATCTTTTCAAATAAAAACCTGGGGGAAGAGAGGATGTCGTAGAGCTATATATAGTAACTTAAAAATATACACAAAAATCCACAATATACAAATATACAGGCCAAAATGTTAGTCTTTGAATTTTTTTAAATGAGCACATAAAACATCTAAGACAAAGGAAAAAAAAATCCTTAAAACAAAAAAAGATCCTAATTTTAGTATTGTTTTTTAAAAAAACACGTGTGTGTGTGCACGTGTGCATGTGCACACATTTTTCACATAAAAAAGATGGAAAAAAATTACCAAAAAGAGTATTTATATCAGGGCAGTGAGATTTTTAACCTAAAATTTCCAATATCTCTACAATAACTGTGAAATACCCTCACAATCAGGAAAAACAAAACAATAAAACTGTTAAGTGTTATATTAAACACACACACATGAAAATCTGTCTCAGTCCCAATGCAACCACAATAGAGACTGAGTATCTCCTGGCAACAGAGAACATGGCCAGGGCCTCTTCCAAGGGGCAGTTAGTGGCAAGTCTCCATAGCTTGAGCACCCCTTACCCTGCCTTCCTCCTCCCTTATATATGCTTTGTTTTCAGTGACTCCTACAAACACAGCCTAATCACCCTTACAGTACCTTCCACATGTCTATTTCACGAGCCACTGTTAAAGACAAATGAGGCAACCACAATGAACTTGAAAGACTGGCTCCTTCCTACGGTCCATAAAGACCAAGTCTACTACTTCTAGAACTGGGATTCTCCTGTAGGGGAAGGGAGTAATCAGAAATTCCCAGCAGCCTTTCCAAACTCCACAAATCCCACCTCCAGTTTCTGACTTGCCTCCTGGTTGAGATCCTCCCTGCTGTGGAAACCCACTGATAACGCACTGGAAAAGAGCTGTGACCCATCACTGGGAGGGCAATCATGACCAAATGTTCATCCAATTCTAAGATTCTGCTAGTTTAATCTTCCCCACATAAAACAAATCTTCAGGTTAAAAAATTTTTGCTAACTCAAAAATGAATTCTAATCTTCCTAACATTGCCAGCTGTCATAGAGAATATAAAAACAGAGTCAGATACTACAATATAAAATACATGTACATTTTCTGGCCGGGCACGGTGGCTCATGCCTGTAACCCCAACACTTCTTGGGAGGCTGAAGTGCGCAGATCACATGAGGCCAGGAGTTCAAGACCAGCCTGGCCAACATGGCAAAACCTCGTCTACTAAAAATACAAAAATCAGCCAGGCGTGGTGATGCAATTCTGTAATCCCAGCTACTCAGGAGGCTGAGTCACGAGAATTGCTTGAACCCAAGAGGCAGACGCTGCAGCGGGCCGAGATCACACCACTGCACTCCAGCCTGAGCAACAAAGTGAGACTGTCTTAAAAAAAAAAAAAGAAAAAGAAAAAGAAAAAAAAAGTACTTATTCTAAGGTCAAATTAAAAAAAAAAAAATCACAAAGGCACTGCACACCAAAACATCCATCATCACCTTGGTGATCTCTCGAGCAAAAAATTCTATAGCTGGAAACCTTGAGATAATTAGCTGTTGCAGAACTCTAAAGCACATTATTTTCATTCATCTTCTACAAAAGAAACACCAATTAACCTGGCCCAGGGCATAAAGCAAATGGCATATGCTGAGATTTGTCCTTATCGTGACTTTGAGGGCAACATGGCTTGGTAAATAGACAGTGTAATACAGGAGACTGTCCTGCTTACAAAGGGCTCCATGCCCTGTCCTTGAAAAGCTGCTGAGATATTAAAGAGCTTAATTCCCATCCCAGCTTAATTCACAGTTGCCATAGACAATCACACTGGGAAGTTTTCCAATCCATCCACTTCACTTAAAGGGCTTGCTTTCATTTGTCAAGATGATAGAAAGCTAAGAGCTTTTAAGACCTGATGAGTGCAACTTCCCCAAATACTTTCCAACATGAATGGAAACGACAACTTACTGGAACAGAGCAAATAATGAGGGCAACAAGCAGGCATTCATTAACACTCTTTGGCCAAGCAGCCTTCTCTGGGTAGCCAAGAATGGAGCCTGGGAAACACAAATTTAATCAATCCTCAACTCTCTAAGAGGTCATGCCATGCCAGCTTTGCTATGCCTAGGCAAGCTGCTGGGACGCCTCCCTCCCCATCCTGGGAACAAGGACGTTATCTGGGGAGCACCATCCTAATCGTTTTAGCATAAACTAAAAGGTAATGCAATGCCAAAGTGCATCATCTAATGTGCTCCAAAGCTTGGGAGATTTCTGGCGTATCTGTTTAGGATTCTCTGAGAAAATGCACCCATTGTGAGTTAATAAAACAGTAAAGTCAGAACTTAAATCCACTGGACATTATTGTGAAATCAGGATGAGGTAACAGAATGTAATTTACATAACTCTACAGGCAAGGGTTAAAAAAAGCCTTTTACATATTATGCAACCATGAAAATTGAAAATAAAAATCTAAAAAATAAAAAAGCTTTTTCTATTTATCAACAGAGAGAGACTTAGCAAAACAATAAAATACATGAGCTCTAGGGCCAGAAGGGCCGCCACTATCCCAAACAGTAATAGAAGGCTCAGTATTACTAACCCTCTAATTAGAGTTGGTTTTTTTTTTTTTTTTTTTTTTTGAGATGGAGTTTCGCTCTTGTTGCCCAAGCTGGAGTGCAATGGCACGATCTCAGCTAACTGCAACCTCTGCCTCCCGGGTTCAAGCTATTCTCCTGCCTCAGCCTCCCGAGTAGCTGGGATTATAGGCACACACCACCACGCTCAACTAATTTTTTATATTTTTAGTAGAAACGGGGTTTCACCATGTTAGCCGGGATGGTCTTGAACTCCTGACCACAGGTGATTCGCCTGCCTTGGCCTCCCAAAGTGCTGGGATTACAGGTGTGAGCCACTGCACCTGGCCTGAGTTTTTAAAAAAATAACATGAAGACCAATCAACTTATTTTGTCAAAGTCACCTGGTAGGAAATCTAAGCAAACGCTGAAACCCTTCAACATTCAACTTGAAGCCCTTACCCTTTTACCTCCTGCAAATGTCAAGGAGCCCACGGTCCTAGTTCTCCTTGGTAGGGAGTATCTGTGCATACCTCAGGAACACCGCAACTGTCTGGAAACTGACACTGTACTCAGCCTCCATCTCCCCAGAAAACACAGTTCTCAATGCTTTTGTCTGTGCACTGAGGGCAAACAGAGGGAAAAAGTCTAGACAGGGACAACTCAAGTGAATACAGGGAAGGTCCCTCCCCTTCCTTGTATTCATTTGAGTTGTCCTGTAATGTCCTTCTTGCAGTGTATAACCACAGCTACATGCCAGGTCTATAGACAGGGTATGCTTTGGTTTCTACATCCTTCTTCAGCAATGCCCATTTTGGGAGAAAACCAACTAACCAACCAAGAAGAGTCTGTCCAAACCAAAAACTCTCTGGCTACTTTGTAAGAGTGCGAGAGTGAGGGATGATCTCAACACCACGAAGCCTGCCATGCATTCAGAGCAGGCCATGATTTGTCCTGCACCTCCCCTTCAGAGAGGAGGCTTGAAACCTGGCACCACTTTACCTTTTGTAGAAATGGAAGCGCTCTGTGAAAAGTAGAAACTGTTTCTCTCCTTGAAGGAAGAAGTGTCTGGCCCTGGAGACACCAGACTTCTGCGTGTACTCGCAGATGTGGGTAAAATTCAATTCCTCCTTCTTGAAGTAATTTCGAAGACGCACGAAGTCAAAGTAGGAGGGGATATAGATGAGCGTGTGAGACATGACTGCATCACGATACTGTGGCAAAATCTTGTTCACAAAAAAGTTAAACCTGATTTGGAATGGCAAAGGGCAAAATTAATGTCTAGAGCTAAGCTTATGGTGTCTCTTAACTGTGTGACCCTGAGCAAATTACAATCTCGTGTTAAAAGATTACCTCCCCAGAGGCCAATATGATTTACCTCCTCTCAAAGAGATTATGTAAGGATAAAACTTGATAAGCACACTAAAAAAATAAGTGTCAACACTATTCATTGTAAAAAACAGATGTAATACCATTATATCCCAGAGAATTACTCTAGGAAGTACACACCACACTATTCAGTCAGTCAGTCAGTCACTCAGTCACTCAGTCCAACAGTCAACAAATAATCACTGAACATCTACCATATACTAAGCCTCACTAAGCTTCTTTGGGGTCCCCTAACTAAACACAATGAAGAAAAAGGGGGAAATTATACAATTAGAAAAATAGTTCTTTCCCTGAGGGGCTTACAATTAACTTGCTGACATGAGACACTTTGTAGCATAAAGCTGTATAATTTTAAAATGCCACAGTCAAGAGTGAAAGAGTCCTGATTTATAGTAATAACCCTGCTACTAACTAGTTATGAGACCTAGGCCAAAGTCACTATTTCTCTCTGTGCTTCAGTTTCCTCCTCTGACAAATGACATAATTAAGTTCAATTATCTCAACTGATTTGGTAGTTATCAATAAAAGCAAAATGGAATCCAATTCTAGGTTTGTATGCCCAAGTCAAATCTCTCTATGTGGTCCCCAGGGGCCTGCTGGGAGGAGTGGGTTACCTGGCATCAATCACTGAAGCTAGGTTTTCAGCTTCCATCCTCTGGAAGACATGTGGGAGCTGCACCAGGACATGACTGATAGAGCCTGTCATTGGGACATTCCTCACGGCCACCTGCCAGTAGTCAACAAGAGCGTTAGGTGGACAGCCATCCCCTTCTTGACCAGAAGCTATCGCCTCCTTCTACCTCAGGACCCAAACAATAAACAGTGCTCATGAAGATACTGAGGAAACAAGACGAGAACCCACCTGGCCTTGCATGTTGACACAGTACTTGTTGAACACTGAGTTGATCTGGGCATCCTGAAGGGCCCCAAATAGCAGTGTCTGGCGATAGTACTTGGACCAATTATTGAGGCTCCACATCCGCACTCGAGAAAAGTCTACCCCATGTGAGTCCAGGGGTAGTAGGTTCATGTGATTCATCAAATGCTTTGAGTGGAAATAATATTACCATTAGTGTTGACTGAGAGCATTTACATGTTGGACATTGCTAAACATTTTCCGAGTCTATCAACTCATGTACTATCATCTCCTAAATTATAACAAGAAAACTGAGGCTCACATGGGTGAGTGACTTGCCCATGGTCAGCCAAACATCCCCAATGAGGAGATAAGCTAAAACTGGCCCTCCTGGAATTTTAACAAATGATCAAAATGGTACCTACAGGAATGTTCCTTTAAAATGAACTTCTGAAATGCCACACTGGTCTCTCTATGGGTCCCTAAGTCCCAGACTTGGACAAGAAGGGAAATGCCATGGAAAACAGAGCTGCTGTCCCTCAATTACCTGGTTCTCAAAACATTAGGAATAGTTGCAGTGTCACCCTGTCTTTTCCTCAAATCTAAGAATATAACTCGACTATGCCAAATGCCTTTTCCATTTTAATTATATTTTTACCTTGTAATAGATATTGAAGGGTAATGAGTACAATAAATTTATTTCCTACTTTAGAAGTAAGTTCTACCCTTCATTTGTCCCAAACTTCCTGCAAGCTTCAAGACATGGGGTTGTAGAAGGGGTGAGTTCCCATATGCCTTAGAAAAATAAACCTATAGTTCCTAAATAAGGATTGTTCCAAAGCAGTTTTTCAGTCCTAAAACTGATAACACTGCAGAGTGTGTGGAGAAGGAGAAAAAAATTACAGTACAAATTACATCGGGTAATAAAGACATCCTATATTTCTCTACAAAACAAGATCCCACCTTAAAAAATCTTGAGCAGGGTATTCCCATCTTCACCAAAGACCAAACAAAACAGCATAAGCAAAAACCACATGTGGGATTATGTTAGGTAAAGATGTTCCTGGTGAGGACCCATCCATCCATCAACCTATCCCATCCACCCATCCACCCACCCTAAAGTTAGTAGAAAGAAATTTTAAGGGAAAGAAATCTTTTCTGGAGATTTGAAAATGACTGACAGGAATTTTAATCTGTAGACAGTTTAATTATGGACAATCTCTGGGTAGAAAAGGGGACAAAAGACTTTTTCAAATTAGAAAATGTGGAGTGTGTGTCCTTGCTTCCAAACAAGAGTTCTAATCTGGACTTAAATAATTCTTTAGGACTTAAACCACTGGGTGTCTTATCCCTCTAAATATGAATACTGTCCCACTGAATGTGAATGGCCAGCATTACCAGGACATGCTCCCAGTTCTGCATCAGGTAAATGTCAGCTTGATCAATGATGAGAAGCTCGATAGAAGACAGAAAGTCAAAATCTCTCTTCTTCTCTCCTTCTCCACCAATGATGGTCCTCAAGCCCAGGGGGGAAGCAATGAGGATATCCGAGGAGTAAAACGGGGCATAGAGTCGGATGCTTCTCTGAAGTATTGCCACTCCTACACAAAACAGCCAAGTACACACCAATTCATTAGTCACTACCAAGCCATTACCTTCCACCCTCTCAAAGCAGTCCACCACTTCTATTGCTTCCACATCTCTTTTGTTCCTCTTAGCATGTAACTGTGCTCAACTGCTTTAATTATTAAAACATAAGAACAAGAGAAATCTCTCCCTTGCATCTATAGTCCCTTCTAGCTTCTACCTTCTCTTCCTTTCCGTCACTATCAAACTGCTCCAGAGAATTCTCTCTACTTTCAAATCTCTCCTTCACTTCTCACTCCACTGCAATCCGGCCTCTGATTCTCAGGACTCCAGAGAAATGACTCTTGCTAAGGTCCCCACAGTCCTCAGTCACCAACAGGATGAACACTTTTGAGAGCTTCTTATGAGGAAAGTACAAACGGCACAGAATGTACTAACAGCTGCCTTGCAATGCTCTTTTCCTTGCTAATAGTTTCCATGACTTCAACTCTCACTTTTGCTTCTATCACTGACCTGGCCCTTGTCTGTCCTTCCAGATCCAAATAACTCTTCTGCAAACTGGTGGATTCACTTGTCAGCTCTGCTCTCGTGCTGCATAAAGCTTTGGGTTAACTGACTCACTGATCATGGCTTTAATGTCACCTTCACACAAATGTGTATTTCCAGCCCATATCTTTTTCCTGAGCTCCAGAACAATATACCAACTGCTTCCTGGACAGCTATATATGTTCCAAACAAAACACGAGCTCTTGTCTCCTTATGCCTTACATTCCACCATACCGAAGCCTGTGTGAATCATAGGTCATTCCAAGCTTAGTCACCCTGATGCCTCTGCAACAGGCAGTTTCCTGTCTGAAATGTTTTCCTCCACTCAGCCACCTCCCTTTGAAACTGGCTGAATCCTACACAGGTTTCCACCTAGTACAGATGACACCTCCACCACGACATCTTCCCTAACCACCCTGCCCCCATTTTGGGTAAGGGGGTTTGCTTTAAATGCTCCGAGAACAACCGTTGCACACATATCCTGCACTGCCTGCTCTGTCGTAGGCTGGATTTCCTTAGCAATGGGAACTATAACTTTTATTTCTATATTTATCTGTAGATTCCCAGCTTCTTAACAGTGCCTGGCACACTGTAGATACTCAATAAGTATTTGTGAATGAGCATATGTGACTAATGAACATTTCCCCAAGAACTTTACTCTATAAAAGGTATAACCAACCAAAGTCAATGGGAGCTGAATGAGAGACAAGCAAAAATGTGAAAATTTGGGTGGAAGTCATGTGTGGAGATTATTCAGGGTAGGCATCTATGTAGCACACAGGAGAAAGTCCACCTTTATGTAGAGACAGTCATTTTATTCAGCCTCCCCAGAATGACCCCATCAGCCCCATCACTTCCAACATCCTAGAGAACCCCTTGTAGCATCTATCTGCTACCAGCTATGGGTGTGCTTTCACACTTCTGTTATAAACTTGCTATAAATTTCTGTTATAAATGTACATGTGCCTTTCATATATGGCCTCAGAGATCCTCCCGACTCCACTGGCCTAATGTCCACCCCATTAGCCAAGGCAAGACTCTCCCATGGCAAACAACATGTCTCAAAGGCACACTGGTTCTGTTAAAGAGGCACAGTGAGTGATCCACTGGGAAAATATCTAATTCCAGCTTCTGGTCTCCAGCTATGTAGACCTTCACACTTTAGGTCTCAAAGTTGATAAGGAAGAATTACCAATCCTGAAGTGGTCATCAATATTGCCCACAAATACGGCTTCATAATCCTCAGGCCTCTTCAAGTTGGGTGGTCTCTCCTCGGGATCTGATCCATATTCTCCCTGAAACCTCTTTTTGTTGCTCACAATGATTTTCTTCTTGCTGTCACCCTCGAGGAGGCTGATGAAGAGCTGCACCACCCGCAAAGCAGCTTCCCGGAATGGCACCACTATCAGTACCTGTGCAGACAGCAACAGCAGCCTTAGTGGGGTAAGAGGAAGGAACAGGATCTTGAGGTGAAACTGCTGAGGAAGTGGAGCTAAAAAGCTCCATGTAGAGCAGTGGCCCCCAGCCAAGAAACATACCTATGTTACCCGCTTTGCGCAGGGCTTGGCTCAACACCAGAAACTGAGCACCTTTCATAACCCCAGCACCATGACCTGCGGACTTCAGACCCATCAGTCCACGTGAGACATTTCTCAAGCAGAATTTGGAAATACCTTTTACAATAAGCCAATGCCTCTAACAGATACGTCTACCAGTAAAAACTCAAGGACATAAACACATGAGCTCTTTGAGGGAAAGATTTCTGTGTCTCCCACAGAATTAGTGCAATATTTTTATCCTAAAGACACAGTGAATAAATACATGTCGAATAAATAAATGGAACAAGTAGAGAAGAAATAAAGCGGGTAAGAAAAAGGATTAACACATCATTACATTTCTAGTGCATTCTCTATACAGTGTTTCAGAAATGACAATAAAGCATTTCTAAAAAAAAATGACCACAATTAATGGGAAAAACAGGACTCAGCTTTCTAAGCATATTCAAAAATATTTAAAGTTACTGTTGAGAATAAAAACCGAAGATGCTTAAAAAATGGTTAATTTCTAATTTCCTATTGTAAACAATGGACATAACCCCAGTTAAATCACGTAATTCACCAAATTATAATATGTTTCATAGATAATCTGCCTCTTATTCTTCTATGTAATTCTAAATGGAAACAACCTTATAACCCTGATGTTCAAGCCCCAAGGAGTGCAGTGGACTCAGCTTGGTACAGTTGCAGAGATGGTGGACCAAGATTTAAGAGGACTGGGTTATTGTTCCAGCGGTGACAGTAAGCGTCGGGGCTTTGGTTTCCCCCGCTATTACACAAGGGAGTTTGACTAAGAAATCTCTAAAGGCCACATTAGTATCAAATTTCTAGAATCCTATTAAACTCAATGAGAAAATTCTAAAAAGATGAGGCTTCTTCAATACGGAGAGATGCAGTTCAGGGCAGGGGGACAAGTCCTGGTTCTATAACATCATGAATAATGTAGATAAAATTGAAAGCCATTTCCTGTTAAGGCCTCAAATCCACTAGAGCTTAGACTTATGAATACAAACGCATCACTTTAAGCAGCAATAACTTTACAGTGGCAAATGTAAATTTTTGCTTTCAAAGGCTGACGTATGTATGTGGCTTAGTGAAGAGAATCTATGGTTCTTGTCTCATCTCTGCTATTCTTTCCCTGGTTCTCTTTAGCAAGGCCCTCTATGAATTTCTACGAATTTGGGGTTGTCCACAGCTGTAATATGGAGGGATTGGATAAAAGGCTCATTAAGGTCCCATCCAGCTTTGACAACCACAAAGAAGAGATTTATAATGGAGTTTTATTTATATACTCTGGGTTTATCTTTAAGGAAAGTGTCATGAAGTGCCTCCTTCTCGCAAGTTTCCAGCTACATCCACTGTCAGAAACAGCCCACTAAGCTGCTGCAGTGCTGCTCTGACACTACCTGGCCTACTTAATATGCTCACATTTGGGCTCATTCATTATGCCAGTCAATTATTAAAATACCCAAGTTCCTGCTAAGTGTCAGGCACCTCTATGGCAGTGCCTTGCAGCCACCTCCTCGAGAGCAAAGCTTTCCTGCTGGACTCACCTTGGGCCTTGTTAACCCTTGGTCTCTGAAGTCATCATCATCACCCACTCCAAACTTCTGGCTTCGGCGTCTGCTATTGTTGCCAAGCACCTGGGCATTGGCTTTGAGGATGTGATTTATCACATGCAGGCAATACACATGGCGGATCTCTTCCCCGTTCTTCAGAGCAGTCCTTTCCGGGTAGAACAGGTCCCGGTAAGAATTCATAATTAAGAAGAGTTCTTTCTGGAGGGGGGTGAATGGGCTGCTTGATTTTTGGGGACCAGATAGGAACTGGCTGTTGGTCTTAGTCCAGGTGGATTCCAGAGGCTTCTGGAGATGAAGTGACTTTAAGTCAATATCCTTTGGGGGTTTAAATGTTTCCAACTTCTGAAACTTAGAGGAAAAGAAAAGCTGGCCCAGAATAGGCCACTAGGGGAGAAACAGATCAAGAGCCAAATTAGAAATGAATAACAGTAAATTACATTCACATAGTACTATATTTAGCGAATTTTTTCATGATTTATAGATCATCTCATTTAATCCTCACAACAGCCCTGCAAGGTAGTTACCATGATACTCATGTTATAGTTTAGGAAGCACTGAGGTTCATACAGAGGTTGTATGATACAAAGTTTACACAGAAGAAAATGGAGCTGAGGGCTAGACCCCAAGGTTTCTGACTTCAAATCTGAGCTCTTCACCCTATCAGTTGTCCCACACTGTTCTGTGGAATATATTCTGGGAAGAGTCAACATTCATTCTAGAAACAAAGGGGTTCCATGGTCAAATACCCTTGATAAACATCACAAAACTTAATTCCTCTGAGGGAGATTGACAATGTACACTCGATACTAAAGGTGTTGACAAGTTCTATGACAAGAAATCTGTCCATTTTGTTTAAATCCTAAGGAATACTATTTTCTATTTTGTGGGATACAAGTTTAAGAATTTTTGCATTATAGCTAAATTGCTGATCTAAAAATAGGACAACCTCAGCAATAAAAAGAAATAAATTACTGATAGCTGAAATAACTTGGATGACTCTCCAGGGAATCATGCTGAGTGAAAAAAAAACAATCTCAAAAGGTTACATGCTGTATGAGTCATTTAACATTTTTAAAATGACAAAATTATAGAAATGGAGACCAGATTAGTGGTTACCAGGGGTTAGAAATGGGGGTGGGGCAGGGTGCAGAGGGAGGCAGATATGGTTATAAAAGGGCAACAAGGATTTGTATTTTGCTGGAAATGTTCTGCATCTTGATGGCAGGAGTAGATACAGGAACCTATGCATGATAAAATTGTATATAAATATAGGCACAGGCATATGCAGTTGAACAGGAGTAAAACCAGATCTGAGTAAGACTGGTAGATTATATCAATGTCAGTTTCCTGGCTGTGACATTATACTACAGTTCTACAAGATTTCACCACTGAGGAAAACTGGGCAAAGGGTACAAGATGTCTTTGTATGATTTCTTACAACTGCATGTATATCTATAATTATTCCCTCAATAAAAATTTCAATTAAAAAAAGGATGACCAACTCTCATGAATGGCATCAGTGGTAAGAACAAAGAAGCAAAAACTGCCCAATATCTGGATAATTTATTTGTGGACCTACCTCAGATATTTCAAACAAATGAACAACAGTAGTACCTACTGTTTTAATGAACACTGTTTTACTGAACACTATGTATTAGTAAACTATTCTATTTTGAGATAGGTATTATTATCCCCCTCTAGCAGACTAGAATAGTGAATAGCAAAAAAGCAGATGAACTTGCCTTGGGTCAAAATGTGATAGCTCCTTGAAGATGTTGGTCTCCAAATCCACTCTTACCCATCATTATATTATCTGGCACCCACACTCCAGCTTCCTGGTGCGTTTTCTAGCTACAACTGTGCCCCACTAGGCTCTTCTAGCCTTCCTTATGCCCTGCTTCCCTATCAAGCCATCTACTGCAGGTGTATATCATACATTCTGGGAGGCCACTAAAACCCAAGACCACTGTTTTATTTAGAGCTTTCTCTATTTGTGACCGGGATGACCAAGCAACACTTACTTTAAGCTCGTGGGTAGTTTTGGGATTTGTGGCAACAGCCTGAATTGCTTTTTCTTTCAGTTCTTTGTTCACATGTTGAAGAAATGGATCTAATTCAGAAATAAAAAATGTCAGCACACTATGCAACTACAGAGGGGTTTTGTGGTCTTCCCCTGTGAAAGACATGTTGATCTTCATTGTGTTAACTCATCCTTTTCTCCATTGACTTTCCCCACCCTCTGGCCAAGTCCAGAGCTTAAAAACTTCTGAAAGGTTCATTTTCCTAAAACATTTCTCTAATTATATTACTTCCCAGCTTGAAAACTTTTGAAGAAACTTCTCAGCCTGGAATTCAGAGCACTTTAGGATATACCTCCAACCTGCATCTCCGTTATCATTTCTGGACTATATGGCCCTCAAATTCTTCTGCCTCTGTGCTTTTCCTTCCTTCAACTAAAAATTCCAGCCTCTCCTTCACTTCATTTTTGCATATCCAAATGTTATCAATTTAATGTTACCCACTGAATCACAATAAATACTTCCCAGGCTTACTGTGTTAGGCACAACGTTGGCTCACCTTGTTCCCTAGAGTCATCACTTTCTCAAGTCTCCTACTCTGCCCAACCCACCCATTCCAACACATATACATATATACATGTCTTATCTAGCAGACTGCAAGGTCTCTAAGAACAGGTTCCATGTCTGATTGATCTTGCACTGGGACACACAGATATGACCAATACTCCACTGAATTGAACAAATGATCCACATGATAGCATCTGCACTCCAAGTAATCTTTAGTATTCTGAGCTAGCCACCCAACCTTCTCTCCCAGTCCCACTCATAAGAAACAGAACAAAGTTAAATGACCCATCCAAGCATCCAAACAGTAAAATTTCAAATGAAATGCATCTTGTATTAAATATCTAAGAGTGAACAACAGGACATAAGAATTCTAGATGCTAATATATCTGTATGAGCAAAACAACCACAGAAATTATGGGACAGTCAAGCTTCCTAATGTTTCCTCCAAAGTTTCTAAGTTTTAATGGTTCAGAATGGAGTTTGTACTAAAATCTACAAATTCTACCTGTCACTTCTTCTCCTGCAAAATAACCAACAGAACTAAATGAGTCAAATGAGGATTAAAATTTCTGTTTCATTAAAGGTAAAGCTGGGTTGAAGAATGGCAATGAGATCAATGAAGGCAATCAGGATACAGAACGAGACCAACCTGACTTGCCCACCCAGACACTGGCTGAGAAACTGGACTTGAGACAGCAGGAACCCATCAAAGCCCGCCATAGGCACGTCTTGACCACGTGACTGCCATTTGGTCACAGGAGTGGTCAAGAGTCTGTGGGAGGCAGGAGACACAGGGTAGGGCTTTTTGGCTTTTGAGGGTCTCCCTGGTAATAAAGACCACTCAGATTAGCCACCCCTGGGTCTTGCAAATCTGAAAAATTACTGCTCCAAAAAGGAACAGCAAGTGAGGGGTAGAGGAAGTATTTTTTCCTCTTTTTCTTTCTCTTTCCCTACTTGGGGAGAAAATCAGAAATCTTCCCCTGACTCCAATAATGAAAATGTGAGGCCTGGGAAGCTGGCCTTCCCTACCATCATTCTTGTTTGTTCTCCTAAATGTCCCGTCCAACCCCTAAACACTGAGAAACACAAAATACCTTTTAGAATTATTTTTCCCAGCTCTAGATCTAGCCACTAAACTGTTTTTATTGCTGTTTGTTCCAATAATAGATTCAATGTGTATTAGTACACAAATTCCATACTAAGCACCTGGTGAATTCAAATAACACACACTGTGCTATGACCTTGAGAGGCTTTCAAAGAAGAGTTGTCTCCACTTTCCTCTTCCAGAAAATTGGTTTCCAGGCTGAACAGTGACTCGTGTTTTGCATCTGTGAACTCTTCGGGGGATGTTTGTGATGTGCCCGGTGGCTCTTCCCCATCTTCTTTTCCCTCAGGGTCAGCAGATAAAGCTACATCTGCAGTTTTGAGAAACATTTTATAAAATTATTTACTCACAAATTATACTTCTGTTGACAAAATTTATTTCCTTAGGCTATACCAACAATAGCGTTCATTGATACTATTTATATTTAGGTAAATTCAGGTAGAAAACATAGATTTCAAAATTAAGCCTAATCATCAACACATGATGCATGATGGTGGGTTTTATGTCTCAATTTGGCTGGGACACAGTGCCCAGATATCTGGCCAAACATTATTTTGGATGTTTCTGCGAGGGTATTTTTGGATGAGCGTTTATTTATTTATTTATATATTGAGACAGGGTCTGGCTCTGTCACCCAGGCTGCAGTGCAGTGGTGTCATCTTGGCTCACTGCAACCTCCACCTCTTGGGCTCAAGTGATTTTTCCACCTCAGGCTCCCGAGTAGCTGAAACTACAGGCATGCACCACCATGCCTGGCTAATTTTTGTATTTTTCTGTAGAGATGGGGTTTCGCCATGTTGGCCAGGCTGGTCTCAAACTCCTAAGCTCAATCGATCTGCCTGCCTCAGCCTCCCAAAGTGTTGGGATTACAGGCGTGAGCCAGATCTCTTTCTCATATACACACATATCCTACCGGTTCTGTTTCTCTGGAGATTTCGAATTAATATACCCACTTCTAGTTCTAGGAACTTATTCTAAAATAGTAACCAGACATAGTACACTAAGATGTACATGAGAGGATGTTCAAAGCAGCACTGATTATAAGAAATAACTGGGGGAAAAAGGGTCTATCAATGGGGTACAATCATATTTTTACAATGGAATACTATGTAATTAAGAAGCTAATGTGAATCCACAGTCACAGATGTAGGAAGTTACGGAAATGTATAAGGCCATTATACAGATACACATAAATATATATACATACTCATATATAATCATAAAAATGTAGTCTGAAAGGTTATATACAATGCTAAAGGTGTTTATCTCTGGGTAGCAGGGATAGAGGGTAACTATATTACCCTCTTAAATGTTTACAGTAAATATATATTATTTTTATAATGATAAAAAAATTTTCATTTTTAAAAATCCAAAAAAGCAAAGAAAAATAGAAACAAACAAAACAAACTCCTAAGTGTAAGTCAATGAATTTTTATCTCAGTAAAACTGATCAGTTAAAATACCTGGAATGATATATAATACCAGAAGGTATAAAAAAAAAATAAGGCTATAAGAAAAATAGGCATTAAAATAATGAGTAAAAAGTCACCCAGCTATATTCAGACAATGGAATGCTATTCCAGCAACTAAAAAGTAGTAAGTGACTAATACATGCACAACACAAATAAATTAGAAAAACATGAGAAGCAAAAATAGCTAGACACAAAAGGAGTCATACTGTATGATTCAATTTATATGAATTTCTAGAACAGGCAAAACTAATCTACAGTGACAGAAGGCGGGTCAGTGGCTGCCTGATGCCAAGGGTGGGGAACTGACTGCAAAAGGATAAGAAAAATTTTTGGAGGTAATGGAAATGTTCTGTATCTTGATTTGGATGTATACCTTTGTCAAAACCTGTCAGACTGTATATTTAAATTGGATACGTTTTACTGTATGTAAATGATACCTCAATGAAGGTGATTTTGAAGTTAAAGAAAAAAGTCACCTTCAAGTCTGAGTGACACAGAGTCCCTGAAGCCTTCCCTAATTTACACTGGCAGTGTTCAACCACTCTGCCTCTCTTCAACACCTTACATCTAGCTGTTCCATGCAATCGCAAATCTACTGTTTGAAATTTTTTATATATATTTATGTCTATCTTCCATCAAACTTGGTCTCCCTAAGAGAAGAACAGTAACCTCTTCAATAAATTCAGACAGTCACAAAGACAGAACTGTGTTCTCCTTCCTCTGTATTAGGAGGTCTTTCACTAGTACTGATGAAGTCCCTGAAATTACAAGCAAAAATGTTATTTCTGCCTAGCTGTGCTAAGAAGGTTCTGTGTTTCCATCAGATTCTCAAAGATACAATCAAACCCAACAAGGGTAAATCCCTATTTTGGATTCATGTCCTTTCATCCAACTCACACAGTATATAAGGTACCATGCTCATGAGATGAACTGTCTATAGTTCTGGCAAAGATGATGAGCCTATAGTAAAGACACTTACTCTCTGGACTTTCAGTAGACTCTGCAGCCATCTCTTCTTCCACACTGACATCGCTACCACCATCTTCATCGTTCATTTCTGCATCATCTACAATACTGTCTTCTTCCTCTTCCTCCTCCTCATCTTCCTCTTCTTCCTCAGAAACATTCTTTAATGTAGCAAGTAGTCTGTGGTAGCCAGAAACTTGTTGTGGTTCACTCTCTGAGTCGCTTTCAGAATCTGAAGAATCTGAACTCTCTGACTAAAAGGAAAAGGAGAATTTTAAGAACAAAAACTATATTGTTCTTATTGTTACCCTAAAACTATCATCAAGCCAACATCTATTCAACGAAGCCCAAATTCAAATTTACTTAAAATTGCTAATCTAGCTATGATTCTAGAAGCTCTTCATATGCTCCAAACTGCTACTGCCCCACTTTTAAAACATAAAACTTCAGGTTATGAGATTTAATTTATGTCCCAGGCATTAGGCCACAGGTTTAATAGAACAACAGGATAATTACAAAACAACAAAAGAAAACAGGTTTCTTTTTTTTTTTTTTTAGTTTGTTGTAATATGATAGGCCCTTTGTTCATTTTGCACTGTATTTGTGACTCCTTTATGCTAACCAAAAAAGATATTCCCTCTTAGGATTCACTAAGAGCCCTCTGATAAGCCTCTGTAACAGGGCCTAATAGGCTAGTCTCCTGGGACAATTTCAAACTGTGGCTTCTGTATTAGATATCACAATGGCATTTTTATAGACATCTGCATTTAAAATTAAGTGATACTGCCAAAATAATAGCTTGCATCTGAAATCAAAAGGAATAGAAATGTAATCAAGCTTTATTATTAGATATAATCTTAGTGGGAACAACCCAAAACCAACTATTAAAAAGAAGGTAGAAAGCATTACCAGTTGACAAATCTGTGGCTTTGCTTCCTTTCTGGAAACCCTAAAAAGAAACAGGCAATGTTACATTCTAACTACTAGTATGTAGAAATTAGGAAAAGGTCAAATGAGATGTTAAATGAAAAAGGCAGAATATAACATTATAAATACATTTTAGATATAGTCATGCAAAAATTACACATGCACTTGGGCAGGGCTGGCAAGAATATGGTTAATAACTGACAAATGAAAAGTTTAAGGAGGTCACATGACAAACCCTAGAGTCACACAAGGCTCTCATCCAAAAGAAGGATACAACTTGGCTAAATAAAAGATTTCGGGGTTCATGTTTTTCTAGCAAATTTCTTAATTAGAATGTCCCTCTAAGCTGGGAGCGGTGGCTCATATCTGGAATCCCAGCACTTTAGGAGGCCAAGGTGGGAGAATCACTTGAGCCCAGGAGTTTGAGACCAACCTGGGTAACATACGGAGACCCTGTCTCTACAAAAAAATAAGAAAAATTAGCCCGGAGTTGTGTTGTGCACCTGTAGTCTCGGCTACTGGGAAGGCTGAGGCAGGAGGACCGCTTGAGCCCAGGAGGTGGTGGCTGCAGTGAGCCAGGATTGCAGCACTGGATTCCAACCTGGGCAACGAAGTGAGACCCTGCCTCAAAAAAAAGAAAAAAGAAAAGAAAAGAAAAAAAGAATGTCCCTAACTGATGACAAAGCAGCCCAAAGTAGTGGGATGAGCATTGAGATCATAACTGCACCTAGACATTTCTAGAGAAACCACAACTACTAATACACTTAGTTCCTTATCGTAATTGCAAAGATCAATGATGTCCCAACAAATTCTTTAAAAACACACACAACATATGATGTGACTATAACTAACAATTTATTGTATATTTTCAAATGGCTAGAAGAGCGGATTTTCAATGTTCCCAACGCAAAGAATTGATGTTTGAGATGATGAATATGCTAATTACCCGGATTTGATCATTACACATTGGGTACATGTATTGTTATCAAAATATCACACTGTATCCCACAAATATGTACAATCATTTTATGTAAGTTAAAAATAATTATAAAAACAGGCCAAGCGCGGTGGTTCACGCCTGTAATTCCAGCACTTTGGGAGGCCAAGGCGGGCAGATCACCCGAGGTCAGTAGTTCGAGACCACCCTAGCTAACATGGTGAAACCCCGTCTCAACTAAAAATACAAAAAATTGATCGGGTGTGATGGCGGGCGCCTGTAATCCCAGCTACACGGGAAGCTGAGGCAGGAGAATCGCTTAAGCCCGGGAGACGGAGGTTGCAGTGAGCTGAGATCGCGCCACTGCACTCCAGCCTGGGCGACAAAGCGAGACTCTGTCTTAAAAAAAAAAAATTATATATATACATATATATATGTGTGTCTACAAAAAATTCCTAGATCTCTGACCACACAAAAATCCGCCCCCATAGCTGGGCGCGGTGGCTCACGCCTGTAATCCCAGCACTTTGGGAGGCCGAGGTGGGTGGATCACCTGAGGTCAGGAGTTCAAGACCAGCCTGGCCAACATGGTGAAACCCCATCTCTACTAAAAATACAAAAAATCAGCCGGGCTTGGTGGCGGGCGCCTGTAATCCCAGCTACACGGGAGGCTGAGGCAGGAGCATCGCTTGAACCCGGGAGGAGACAGAGGTTGCAGTGAGCCAAGATCGCGCCATTGCACTCCAGCCTGGGCGACAGAGCGAAACACCGTCTTAAAAAAAAAAAAAAAATCCTCCCCCACACAACGGGCGTGCCTCTTAGCAGGAAATTACAGGCTCAACAAAAAGGCCCGTGAAGCACTCCATCTCCCGGCGGGATGGCGCCAGAATCTCCCCGGCCGAGCACAGCGGGAGCCAGGGAATAGTGGGAAAAGGCCGGAGCAGCACTATCTGGGAGACCAGAGGACCAAACTCGAGGATACATCTCTGGCGACTGGGGAGCCCTGCCACGCCCCTTCAGACCTGTCATAGAAGGGATGCTCCTCGCCGAAATCTCGAAGATGTTTCTTCTGCTTTTTAGTTAGGGTGTTGAGTAGCTGGCTCTGGCTCCGGCTCCCGCGTTTGCCCATAGCGAAAACGTCAAGTTTGCCCACTTGCAAGAGTCGCGGTTTTCCACCAGGAAGTTGTCCAGTCAACACAAGCACGTGGGCTCGCTGACTGCGCTTTACGGCGAAAGCAAGGTGCCATAAAGCAGATCCGCTTTACGTCGCGCTCGTACGACAGGCTTAGAACATCCGGTTCCCGGTTCTGCCCCCTACCGCAGCTCTTTGAAAGCACGGGAGTTCGTTCACTAGTGTTCTCAGAGCCCTAGAACGTGGGCAGCTGGGCTTCCCGGGTTGCGTGAGTCGGGGGCATGAGCTTTGTGCTTGTGTTTTGGTTATGGAAATCAGTCTGCGTAAATGTGTAGTAGCGGAGATAGTCGAATGCAGTGACTTTACAGTATACTGCAATAAAAATATCAACCAACATTTAAGGGTGCCTGAACATCTCACTTCATCACCACAACAGTGTACAGATAGGTCTTGTTAATAAGCCTGGTGTTGCAGATAAGGAAACTGATGCTTAGAAAAGATAACACGCTAGCGGCCGGGCGCGGTGGCTCACGCCTGTAATCTCAACACTTTGGGAGGCCGAGATGGGCGGATCACCTGAGGTCAGGAGTTCGAGACCAGCATGGCCAAACATGGTGAAACCCCGTCTCTACTAAAAGTACAAAAATCAGCCGGGCGTGGTAGCGGGCGCCTGTAATCCCAGCTACTCAGGAGGTGAGGCAGGAGAATCGCTGGAACCCGGGAGGTGGAGGTTGCAATGAGCCGAGATCACTCCACTGCACTCCAGCCTACTCCAGCCTGGGCGACAAAAGCTAGACTCCATCTCGAAAAAAAAAAAAAAGAAGAAAAGAAAAGAAAAGATAACACGCTAGCAAGAGAAGAGAGAAAAACCTTAACTGATGCAACCACATGCTTTTACCCATTAGGGTCTGCCGCCTGTGTGTGTTATATCAATCATGGGGCCCACAAGTCTGAGATTCCCACCCTCACCCTATTCTCGCATTTTCTGAAAGTATTGGAAGAGTCCCCGCAAACAAATCTGTTCCAGCATTCCCCATTTAACAACAGCAGAAACACATCTAGAGAGGTAAAGTGACTTTACTGAAATCACCCCAGTCAATGCTAGAAAAGGCTGTGAAACCCAATCCAGTGTCTCATAACTGAACTCGGACAAAAGGGGATGGAAAAGCTTTTGAAGGTAAAGGAACCATCTTACATTTTGATCATGCTAGTAGTTACACCTTGTATACATAAGAAAAGTTAAACTGTACAGTTAAAATGGGTGAATTTTAATGTATTTAAATAACACCTAAATAAACAGGAAAAAGCAAAAATATAAAAGTAGACTCAGTATTCTAGGGATTTGCAAGTGTGCAGGGCTGCTTGAGACCACAGGATAAAGATGGTGAGATCCTTTTCCTAATAGTAACTTATGCTACCATGTTCTATAGAAACAGAGTGCTTAAATCATAAGCCGCAGAATTCACTTGAATATTTACGGTAAAACAGGAGCGTCCAAAATGAGAGAAATGAGAAGCAAAATAATAGCTCTGCTATTGGAGTGCTACTGTGGGAAATTTGGGTTTTCCCTGATACTGTGTCACACCATAGAAGTTGTAATAAAACCATTAGAATGCGATTCTTGTCAGTTCTAGTGACCATCTACTATTCCTAATTAGATTCGGAGAGGCTGGGGTGGGGATGGGAGGACAGGGCCGGAGAATATGAGGAACACATGCAAACAGAGCGGGTGGTGCCCAGCAGCTGGGCCAGCCAAGGAACCCATAAATAGCCATTTGTCTTCTATGTAATTTCAAGATAAAAGGTACAGTCACTTAGGTCAACAAAAGCCTGTTTGCAAGATGTCATCATATATTTTAAGGTGCTGACCACAGTATAACTTGGCTATAGCAATAAAGAGCCATCCTTTTTCCCCCTCCCAACATATCCCAAGTGCCCCAGTTTCCCTCCCCAGAGGCAGCCACTTTCTTGGTGTTCTTCCAGAGATCTTCTATGAAAGCTATATTCTCAAGCACTTGAGGTGACTCTTACTCTCCCGGTTTCCACACCCTTGTGGTCTTGTGTACAGGTCTAGACGGTTCTCAGGTTCAGGTAAAAATTTACCCTAGCCCCACCCAAGCAGTCTCATCATTGGCTCACTGGGTCATGGAAAAAGAAGCCCTTTTTGTCCTAAAAATATTTATATTATCCTTTGACAACATAAAAAGGGATCCTTTGTGAAAATTTAACCTAAGAGCCAAGAATGTAAGCATTTCTCCCCGCCCCGCCCCCCCGTGAAAGTTCTCTTAGTAAAACCTGCACAACGATGATGTATATGCCAACAAATGAAGGCCTTAGGAAAACTGTAATGAAGACAAAATTTGTTCTTCTTTTTCCCTCCCTCTGCCCTTCCGTTTCCCTCCCCCAACGTTTTCTTTTACTTCTACTCACAGGAACTCCATATTTTCAGTGTTAAAGGCAGTCCAGGAAATAACCCTCTGTATTAGTTTACAGATAGCTGTTAATGAATTAACAAGTTACTTTCCTTGGGATATTTGCAATTTCCAGAAGATTCTCTAGGATAATGATCTCAAGGAGTGGGAGAAGGATAGCTATCCCTTAGGACAAGAATATCAGAATGTTTCGGAATCAGTTAATAATTTAAAAGAAAAAAATGTTTTATATGGCACATTTTAAGTGTATACAAAAGTAGACAAAATGGGAGAATGAACTCCCATATACCTATTGCCCAGCTTCAGCAACTGTCAACTCAAGGCCATCTTGTCTCATTTATATGCCCAACCACTGCCCTGTCCCTACTCTGCATTATTTTTGAAGCAAATCCCAAACATCATATTATTTCATCTGTAAATATTTTAGTGTGCATTTCTAAAAGTTAAGGGTTTTTTTAATGTAGCCTCAATGGCATTATCCAACCTAAAAAACACTGAAGTTAACTGTTTAATATAATCATATATACTGCCAGTGTTCACATTTTTGATTGTCTCATAAATGTTGTCTTTTAAAAATACTTTGTTGGTTTAACATGTTATGCTCTTCTCTATATTTCTTATGAATTGATTGTTGGATCTAGAAGTTTGATCACACTTTGTTATACTTGGTATTTTGTACTTCCATCAGAAGGCATATGATGTCTGGTTGCCTTTCTTTCTGTGATGTTACCAGACATTGATGCTCAATGTCTAAATTCATTAATTCATGAATACATTATAATTCTATTTCAGGGAGTGATACTCTGATTCTGTCATTTATTCTTTACTTAGTTGCTGAATTCTTGTTGTGAAGACAAATTTCTACCTTAATTAAATTTTGGTTACCCAGTGGTACAGTTTATATAGGAAAGAATAAATGCTTGATTCTTTCCCTTCATTTGCCAATTTTCAAGGTAAGAAGTTGATCACTAGATTTAATGGTGGCCAATTAAGTTTTGGTTTTTATTTTTAGTATCATTATGAATTCATGGAGTTCTACAAATTGATATATTCTAATTGTAAATATCATGATATATATAATTTGAAAGTACTTACTTGACATATAGCTATAAATATTTAAAGACACAAGTCAGTCACTTTATAATGCAAAATACAGAAAGTAAGCAGAGGGTCTATCTGAGATTCTCAACAGAGCTAGGGGGAACACTGCTTGAGGATACATCTCAGATGCTGGGGATGTTTGAGATTTATTTTTTTTTTGATAACAAGGTCACATAGTTTCAAGATATGTTGAGAGGAAGCCATGTATATCCAAAGGTATGACTCTCTAATGGTGAAAGTCAGACACCTCAGCTTCTGATTTGGGAAGATTCTAGGGAAGGATTTTGTGTGTGTGTGTGTGTGTGTGTGTGTGTGCTTTCCTAGTAGCCTTAAAGTAGACAGTTTCCTACATACAAGACCAGCTCTTCTACAACATGTATACACGCATGTCTGTGTACAGACCCAAAGCAATCCAGCCTCTTCCCGAGACTGCTGGCAGAAATCACTCTCTCACTACCTTATAAAATTATGGAATTAGCTTACTTGTTTAAAAAAATATTTACCTAACACTTAGGTGCTGGCAGCCAAAGCTAGGAGAAAGAATAAGATCATGCTAGTCTCCTCAGGGCGTTCACAGTCTTGTCTGGGTGTAGGTAAGTACACAGACAATTACAATACGCTGTGCTGAATGCTGAACTGAACAATGCTGGATGCTAAGGAATCTGCAAGGACACATTTACTCAGGTGGGGGGATGCTGGTCTCAGGCTGAGCATGTGTCAGCCAGACACATTCATTGAACACTAGTATTGAACTCAAAATTGATCGAAATTATAGATATGAGGCTGTATGAGTTGTGTTTCCTGACCTCATCCACAGTAAGTGTGTGTGTTCAAGACAGGATATGACGGATATAGGACAATAGGAAATTAAGAAGCTGTGTAGTCATCGGATTCCACAGAATTTATTGTACGTGGAGCAATAAGCTTCTAGGTGGAGCAGACTTTAGAAGTGAGATTATGTCTGCGAAGAGCAAAGCTTTGTGATGCACGCTACATAACATAAAAATACAAAATATGAGTACATATGTCCCCTGCCCTTTCCATTCATCTGTACCCATAAGAAGTATCCACTGTGAAACTCAGAACCTGGAATATAGTGAACATTTATAAATATGTTTCATCAGGTGTATCAGGGATTGATTTACATTAGGTTTAGCTTAAAATGGAAAATATTTTATCGTATTACTTTAGTTGAGAACAAGCCTTAAATGCTGTTAGAGGGCATCAAGTTTTGCATTGCTCCCTCTAGTGGGACGTTGGTATAACTACATACTATTTTTCGTCTGTTGCGGCAAGGGCTCAGCTGTTCATACATTCATTCATTTTATCAAGCATTTTCTAAGCAGTTACTGTGTTCCAAGAATGACACTGGGCATGAAGGATTTAAAAAGCTCAAACATCAGACTTTTCCCTTGAAGACCTCAGAGTCTAGTTGAGAGACAAAGCAATTAACAAAGAATGACATTGTCATGGGCTAAAAGACGTACAAAAGGGTTAAAGGAACCCAGAGGATAAAGAAACTCATTCTGCCGTGGAGAAGAGGGAAAAGTTTGTGGGGAACTGCACAGAGGATGGGCTGAGTCAGGGTTTCCTGGGTGAATAAATAGGAAGAGAGAATTCCAGGTAGAGGCAATAGCATGAACAAAAGTATAGAGACGTGTTTGGATAACTGCAGTGGTCCACGTCACTGAGGTGGACGGGCAGGACAGGAGGGGTTAGAGAGCAGGCAGGTGAGGAGCCAGTCCATGAAAGGCCTTGGATGCCTTGCGGAGAAGTTGACATCCAATCCCATAAAAGGTGACGAGCTGATAAGGGATTTCAAGCAAGGAAGTTATGTGATCAGATTTGGAGTTTAGAGAAATCACAAGGATGTCTGGTGTGGGTGCCAAGGCTATTAAACCTTCCTTTCTGATGCCTTACCTGAGCAATTAGTTTGCTTTGGATGCTGCCCACCATGACTTTGGAGACTTTTTCAGCTGGGCGCTGTGGCTCATGCCTGCAATCCTAGCACTTTGGGAGGCCAAGGTGGGTGGATTAATTGAGATCAGGAGTTCAAGACCAGCCTGGCCAACATGGTGAAACCCCATCTCTACTAAAAATACAAAAATTAGCTGGGCGTGGTGGCATGTGCCTGTAGTCCGAGCTACTTGGGAGGCTGAGGCACGAAAATCGCTTGAACCTGGGAGGTGGAGGTTGCAGTGAGCCAAGATTGTGCCACTGCATTCCAGCCAGGGCGACTTTGAAGACTTTTTCATATGTTTACCAAGTGCTTCCTCCTACTTCTCAGCGTTTATTGAAACCAGGATCTCAAGTCTCTCCTGGTATAATTATCATATTTTGAGACTGTAATGAGTTCAGTTTACCAGAAACATCCATGAAATCCACACTATCCATGCTGGTCACTATGCGAATATGGTTATAATATGATGGAATCACATGGGTGAACCCAAGGGTCCAGCTCTCCACAGCTCTTAACTTCTTATGTTCTCCCTTTATCCCTGCGGGCTCAGAAACACTGCATCCATCTGCCCAACAAGTGCCCAGATAATTCTTATTATTTATTTATTTATTTTTTTGAAACAGGGTCTCACTCTATTGCCCAGGCTGGAGTGCAGTCATGTGATCTCAGCTCACTGCAGCCTCTGCCTCTCTGGTTCCAATGCTTTTCCCATCCCAGCCTCCCGAGTAGCTGGGATTACAGGCGTGCACCACCACACCTGGCTAATTTTTTTTTTATTTGTATTTTTAGTAGAGATGGATTTCGCCATGTTGGCCAGGTTGGTCTCGAACTCCTGACCTCAAGTGATCTACCCACCTTGGTCTCCCAAAGTGCTGGGATTATAGGCATGAGCCACCATGCCCAGCCGATGTCCAGATAATTCAATTCACATATTAAGCTATAGATAGATTCCCCTTAGACATCTAAGTGGAAAGGTCCAGGCATGTGGCACATCTGGAGTTCAGGAGAGAGGTCCAGGCTGCCAGGATGACCAAGCATATCTGAGAGTGGTCAGTGTATGATTGGGACTGAATGAGATTACTTAGTATAAATATAGAGAAGAAGCCTGAAAACTGAGCCCTGGGGTAGCTGCGAATTTAAGACACAGGACAGATGAAGAAGAACCAGCAAGGTGACTAAGGCAGAGCAGCCACTGGGGGAAGAGGAAAGCTGGTGTTGTCTCCCATTTATGGACTGATCCTTCTTAGGAAAGGCAGGTTTACAAAAGAGTTAAGACTGAGGATGCTGGACTCACATCGATCTGGATTCAAATCCTAGTGACGCATTAGTGCTAAATGACTTTTACACCTCATACAGGGGACTGGGTGCAGTACAGAACCTGGGGAGTGTTTGTTTGCTGAGTAATCGTTGATTCTGTACCACTGCACTCCGGGGATATATTAAGTGCCAAGGGAATTTATGTGAAAGAATGAAACAAAGTCTCTGGCCTCAGGGAGCTCACAGTCCAGAGAAAGGGAGCAGTCATAGAAGCCAGTGATTCTCCACAACATCACAGTGTGATAAATTCTCTCATGAAAGTGTGAGCCATCACTGAGGGAACAGAGAGGAGGGAGTCATTAGTCCAGCCTAAGGTGGCCTGACTTACATATGACGCATTTTTTTTCTTTTTTGCCTGTTATGTGCCATTTTGCCCAAGAAAATCACGACTCTTCTGAGCACCGTTGATTAATTTATGTGATGGCTTACAAGAATTTGTTTATTTTTGGAGGGGGAGAAATAAGGGTAAAAAATCCCAAGGGTACAGATTGTGGTCCTGCTTTTTAAAAAAATTCAGTTAGGAATTACAATCTTGAATGAAACTGAGTCTATAATTGCCTATTAGCCCAAATCAATGTTCTCTGCCTTTTGGCTGTTACCAAATCACTCCCTGGTGTAACTTTGACATCCCAGCCTTAACCCCTGAGACTATTACATCTGGTGTGGTAGGCTTCAGCGATTTTAATGTTTTATTTGGGCAGTTATTTACCTTCCATTTTGGGGGCAGCTTTTCTTCTTTAGACAGTGAAGCCCCTAAAACACCAGCTTTTCTCATATTTACTTTAACAACCATACCCACTTCTCATGAACAAGATTTTCTATCATTTTCTTGTACTTTTTTGTTTCTTCTTACTTTCTTAGTTAAGCATTCATTCTGGCTAGAACTAAAATTTTTAGAAATAAAATTTATAACTAAAAATGTTCTTTCAGCTGGGTGCAGTGGCTCACGCCTGTAATCCCAGCACTTTGGGAGGCTGAGGCAGGCAGATCACTTAAGGTCAGGAGTTCAAGACCAACCTGGCCAACATGGCAAAACCCTGTCTCTACTAAAAATACAAAAATTAGCCAGATGTGGTGGTGTGTGCCTGTAATCCCAATCCCAGCTACTCAGGAGGCTGAGGCAGGAGAATCACTTGAACCCAGGAGGCAGAAGTTGCAGTGAGCCACGGTCACACCACTGCACTCCAGCCTGGGCAACAGAGTGAGACTCCACCTCAAAAAAAAAAAAATAAAGAGTCCTTTCATGAGTTTATTATAAATTCTTGCACTGGAAATTCCACAAAGGCAGATTGCAAAACTGGTTGTAATTCAGTGTTGAATGCAGTGGAATAGTATTGCCCTTATTCTGCTAACTAATAGCTCCTCTAGCTCTATCTGAAGACACAATTAGGGATTTGGGAGCCAGATAAATGTTGGATAATTTTGTTCTCCAGCCCTAAAGTAACTGTAACTGTAATTCCTTTGATGGCTAAGGTAGATGACGGTGAATGTATTTGGGACAGGACAGGTTCTAGTGCTAAGAGAGATGAGGGCAGCCTGGGCCAGGTCTGGACATTGTCTGCTGGAATACAAAGAGAAATTTTTTTCTCAACCACACAGGAATATACCCTCAAACCCATGTTGGCTCTTCAAGAAACAAAAACACTTTAAAAATCATTAAAGGAAAGGAAATCCTGAGAATTCTGTATTCCTGATTTAAAAAGTGAAGACTCTAGACTTTTTTTCCCAAGAAAAGATAGTTAAGGTTTATTTCCTAAGTAGGATATGCTATTTTAAGAATAATCATTCTTAAAAGTTGTCTCTGTGTTTCAGTCTTTAATGAAAAGGACTGAGTTTCTTTTAATGTGGGATTCTCAGTGAGGCTGAGCTTCTATAGGGTTAGATTAGTAGGAAGTCCATTCTTTCCCCTGGTTTGGCCAAGTCTCTCAAAAATGCTAACCCAGTCCAAAGGGTCAGTCCTGATTACCCTCATCTTGAGTAGTTGCTGTTGAAATCTGGCTGTGTTCCAGGAGGCAAAAGCAGACATTCTCCCCCATTCTCCCCTTTCTTCTTTCCCGGGTCCCTGTAACTTGTGATACTCTGCTTCATGTCTGCCATGCAGGACTAGCTGTCAATGGCACAGCTCTTTAGGGTCCAAACTCTTCAGTTCACAAGTGCTAGCCATTTCCCTAGCAGTCCCATAGGGTCAGGTGAATGGGTTGGAAGGAGGTGTCAGTGTCAGCTGCATGCTGTTTCCAGAACCAACTCCCCGTCTGATGGGTTCTAGGCCCTCTGTCACCCGTCCAGAGTCTCCTCTCTCATGGTGAAGCTATTTCAGAGGGCTTTTCACCACTGTCTGTCATTGAGCCTCTGTCAGAGAATCCCTTAATGACATGTTCTGGTAACCCTGAATCTCAAAGAGGCCAGGTCAGTTATGCTCAATTCGGGCTATGATTATTGTTATTGAGCACTATTTGCTGTCTAAGCCTCAGTTCCTATTAAGTTAAACTGAATGAAAGAGAAAATGGGTGGGGAAGAGCTAGCTCTGCTGCTCCCAGATGAAGGTGTGCGTGTGTGTGGATGCATGGATGTGTGTGTGTGTGTATGTTGCGGGGAGAGGAGCAAACTTTAAAGACCAAGCCCTCAGAGTGCTTTCCTCTGCACTCTAGGGCTCTTCCCTCTCATGATTTTCCAAGAGAATCTAAAGCACAACCAACATAAAGGTATTAAAAAATAGATTCTGAGTGACAGATAAATTTTATAGCCTCTTGCTAACTTGCCATGATCATAGTCTAGATTTTTTTTTTTTTGAGAGAGAGAGTCTCACTGTGTTGCCTAGGCTGGAGTGTGGTGGCATGATCTTGGCTCACTGCAATCTCTGCCTCCTGAGTTCAAGCAATTCTCCTGCCTCAGCCTCCCAAGTAGCTGGGATTACAGGCACCCGACACCGTGCCTGGCTAATTTTGTATTTTTAGTAGAGACAGGGTTTCACCATGTTGGTCAGGCTGGTCTCGAACTCCTGACCTCAAGTGATCCACCTGCCTCGGCCTCCCAAAGTGCTGGGATTACAGGCATAAGCCACCATGCCTGGCCCATTTTGACAATCACAACAGGCCAAATTCTAATCACATTGTAGGTATGCCAGGAAACCCCAGAGCTGTCTGGTAAGAGCCCTGGAAACCCAGAAAGAGACAGAGATGCTTCTTTGGCCTATCAGGAATAGATTAATTTGGCCCAACCCAATTAGTAACACAACATCTTCTCTATGCTGGGCCACTGGGGAATGAAATGCTGCAGCTCTTTCTGTGGAAGAGTTTATCATCTCCTTGGGGAATGCAGAAGGATGCACTCCTAGAAATAATTAAGACAACAGACTCTGTGCAGGGCTTCTGGACATGAACTTTCCTACCCTGGTTACCATTGCATGACCAAGCTGCTTTAGCAGAGTAATGCTTACATGTTCTTTGCCTGGTCACTCTGCACAGCCACAGCCTGACTCTTGGAATCAAGGAAGCATTTGCTTCTAGTGGTCAGGGCATGTGGGATGAGAGGTAAGACCACAGCAGCGGACATCCTTTCTGACTGGGTGCAGAGCTAAGGTTGAAATGGTAAAGCTTTGGGATTTACCATTCACGAGGTGTTTTCAACCCAGGAAAGCAGACACAAACAGGAGAGATGGGGTCCTGTGTCTGGAGATCTGGGTGCCCTGTTTTGATGAAGAATCATCTGAAAGGTGAAACAAACAAAAAATATGAAACAACCTCTATATCTAAGTCAGAATGGGGTGGGAACAGGGACTGGGGCTAGGCTTGGGTTAGAAGTGGTGTCCATCTCCTGGGAGAGTGTGGTGGGGATTTCATACAAGAAGGGAAGTCCCCCAGTTTCCTATGGGACTATGAGACAAATTGCTTTTAATTATGTTAATTACAACAACAGAGCACTCCACTTCTCAGGAGAGCTTTTCATCTTCAAAGGGGCTCCAGGATGGAGCATTAACAGTTGTCATGAAAGTCTCTGGAGTTTGAGAACTGAAGTCAAAGGAGCCCTAGCTATGTGGGTTGGGGCCCGTGTATGCCCTGAAAAGCCAATGTCTAAGGGATTCTCTGGCTTCAAGGTTAGGAGCAGGTCAAGGCAGGGGTATATGTCTGGGAATTAGCCCTACCTCACTGAAATCAGAGAGGCAAAGGAATGGGCGTGCCAGCCTCAGTCCAGTTCCCTCAAGCCCCGACTCCCTTTATTGGGATTGCCAGTAAAATCAAGGATCCCCAGTTAAATGTGAATTTCAGATAAACAACAAATAATTGTTTAGTGTATTCATGTATTCATTGTTTATCTGAAATTCACATTTAACTGGGCATCTTGTATTTTTATTTGCTAAATCTGGCCACCCTATCCTATATGCTTCTCTCCCCCAATACACACACACACACACACACACACACACACACACACACACACACACACGTGTCTCTCTCTCTCACACACACACACACACACACGTGTCTCTCTCTCTCACACACACACACACACACACGTGTCTCTCTCTCTCACACACACACACACACACACACACACAATGAGAGGCCCAGCTTCCAACCTGACAGACTCCTACCTGAGAGGTCAGCAAGCCTAGGCGTGTTCCCCTGGGGCAGGGGAACAGAACTCTCTAGACCTGCCCAGGCCCAGCCTCTTTCCCTCCTGCATGTGGGAATGTGAGAAAACTCCTGTCTCAGTTCTCTAGGGGGAGGATCTTCAGGGCTGGGCAGCTGGACATATAGTGCATCCTTCCCAACACCTTTATTTACCTTGGAATTTGAGGATGAAGCAGCCTGAGGAATGGACTCTCTAAATCTTCCTGATCCTTCCCTCCCATCCTTCCTCCTCTGTTTGCTTAGCTTACCTCCACTCCATGGCTCTTGTGGCTTAAGGGGGAAACCTTTGGCCACCCACCCCCATTGCCCCATACTGCTGGCATGGAAATTCCTCTGTGACAAAAAACAGAGAGAAAAGGTCACTGGGCTGAGATGAGCTTCCTGCCTAGGCAGTGGAATCCAGGCTGCCAGGACGGGTCTGGGCCTGAACTAGAAATGCTGCCGGTTTCCCGGGCTGGGTGGGGAAGAGAGGACAAGCTGGCACTTGCCACAGCACAGAATAGTAACTGGGAGGTTGCGATGCCTGCTCTGAGCCTGAGCGAAACTCTCAGGGCCTCCAGACATTGACGCAGGTAGAGAGGTTCCCAGGCCCCAAAGCTCCAGATTCAGCCCCTGGGCTCAATCAGGGTCAAGGATAGAGCATGCTGCCTTCTTCCCACCCCCAGGACAGGCAGATGGTCACACATGTTCACATTCTGGGGTATTACTTCAGGCCTTTGGGTAAGATTAACATTCCAAAGCTCCAATCCTCAGGTTCCCCTTCATGACCTAATAGAAAGGGCATGGAGTCAGACAGATCGGGCAGAATCAACTTCCTACTCACCATTTACCAGCTTTGAGACCTTGGATAAAACTCTTAAAAACTAAATTTTTAAAAAATCCCCTGATGAACCAAGCTGAGTAGCTGGCAAAGCTGTGCAGGGGATTTCCAAACAGAGAGGGGCAGAATACGCAGCCACAACTTTTCCTTCAAAGCGCAAGATTCTGGAACAATTCCAGAAAAGCTAACATAGGTAAATTACTCTTAGATTTGTATTGGGGAACAAGAACAATAACAACATTCCCCCTGTGAATAGCCATAGTTGGTAAAACATGCTAGTGTTTCCTTCCCTCCTTCTCCTTTCTTAATAAATCAGAAGTGCATGAATTAAGTATCATACACTTAGCTCATGGGCACCATTTAAATCATTACCTGGCAGTTATGAAGAATGTGGAACACTGAAGTTCTTTATTAAATGTTTATTGAGTAACTGGCTAACTAGAGGAAGAGAGAAAGGAAGGGAGGAAGAAAGGAAGTATCTATTTTATTTCAACTGAGTAGGACTTAGTAGAAATTATGACTCTTATTTTACTTTTAAAAACATTTATTTATTTATTTACTTTGGCCATTTCCACTCAAAGGACTGACTCTTATTTTAGAAGCCTCCAGTGCTGGTACTGTATTTCCTCAAATACCCCTTTGCTAGGTCTACTGTTTCCCTACCACCTTCCATTTCTATTCTGCAGCAGCTGTGCCCAGCTCTTCTCATAGTGTTTTGTAAATAGTGAACTAGAGCAGACAAGAGCTTTGAAGCTTCCTGGCTACCCCAGGGAATTAAGCTGGCAAGGCACCTGGCCAGCGTAGTCTTGATGGGTCCTTCTTTGGATTCGAAAGGCCCAGGAGAAACTGCTACTGCTAGCAGCAGCTCAATAGTATGCAGATGTCATTGTGCTGGGGAGGGACAGGTGGTGTGTAGGCAGCCTTGTCTCTGATTCTTGGGCCTGAACAAAATAAGAGGGGTAAAACAGTCTCAGAAGGATCAAAAGTTTCCCAGGGGATTGAAAACCGGGTGGAGTCATGCACAGGACATTGGTAACATGTGGGAGCAGCCCTGGGATAGGGGGCGATAGAAGGGTCTGATGAAGCACTCTTCCTACTCTTATTCTATGTCTCTTGCAAATCCACTTGCCTATTTCGAAGTTCAGGGATTTGGACTTGAACTTGAGCTTGACCACTTCTCATGTGATCCTGGGGATTATCCTTTATGGGCCTTAGTTTCCTCAAGAATAAAATAGAAATGCTATCACTAACCCACACACATGCATTTAGCAAAGATACGTTGAACACCTAGTGTGTGAGAGGCCCTGAGAACACAGTAGCACAGACAAAGCCTCTGTCCTCTTGGAGCTAATTCATACTCCAGGAAAGAAGCCCCCAAATGGCAGCTCCTGTGGGGTGTTTTATATGGCTCATGTAATTAAAAGTTAAAAAATGCAAATGTATAAAAAATTAGTAGATTTTACATAAAAAATCTAGATTTCCCAGTGGCAACATTGGACCTGTATTTCTGTCCGGCAGCCGTCAGCCAGAGCTTAGTGGCTGCTTCTTTTAGAAAGAAAGCACGCTTTCCAGGTAGCCACAGTCCTCACCATTTCTAGACACTCTTACCTTGCCCAACCTAAACAATATTTTTGTTTTTTTACCCAAAACTTTTCAATGCCCCTCACTGTAAAGAGGAGAAAGTCCAACTCTTTGATGTCACATTCAAGGCCTTCCTTCCAGTTCTGTTTCCTGCCTAATCGATCCCTGCAAATGCTACACTTCAGCAAACTGCAGTTTCCTGACTATCCCATGAGGTACTGCTGAACTATTATAATATTATCCTCTTTGCCTGAAATGCTTTTTTTGGTTCTCCTTTTCTATCTAGAAAATGGTTACTGAACTTTAAGGATCATCTTAAACATTCCCCTCTCCTTTTGTGAAGACTTCTGCTGAGAAAATACTCAGAGGGTCATGTGAAGATCCTCAAAGATGGAAATGGTCCACTTGAGACCAAAAGGCCATCAATGGCTCTACATCCTATGTTTGATTGGGCACGGGGCCCTCCAGCTGGTCACAATTTGTAAAAAGCCTCAGCTTTCTCAATAAATGGGAACAAAATATGAACATTAAAAAAGATGTCTGTAAATGAACTTAGATAACCATGAAAAGTGTTTGAATGGTCATTAATGCTTATTAAGCAGTAGCTATTGTTCCAGCTGTTGTTATTAATATTCCAAATGGAGGCAACTTCATTAAAGATGGTAGATCAGCAGATGCAAAGCATATTCAAGGAAGACAAATTTATTATGGTTGAAGGGTAGCAAAATGGTAGAAGATATGGTTGGAAAAGTAGGCTAGGGCCAGAGAGGGGCCTTCTAACTGGTCTCTCTCTGCCTGACCTTTTTCTACCTTCTAGCTTAAGCACAGCAGCCAGATTAATTGTGCAAAACAAGTTACCTACGTCACTCCTCTGCTCAAAAGCCTCCAGTGACTCCCGCTTACTCTCAGAGTAAAAGTTGTTACCTCTCAGACCTCATATGCCCCACCTCCAACTCTCCCCTTGCCCCAGCCACACTGGCCTCCCTGCTGGTCCTTTAGTGGGGCAAGTATATTCCTGCCCTGGGGCTTTTTACTTGCCGGGCCCTCTTTCTGGAATAATCTTCCCTCTGATACCCACTTGACTCCATCACATTCTTAGCGCTCTACTCAAATGTCATCTTCTCCCTGGTTAGTCCACGTAAAATTTGGATCCACTCCACCCCCTCCTAATCTTTTTCAGTTGCCCCCTTGTCCTTCTTAGAACTTGCCATGGACTTACATACTTTACTTGTTTATTGCCTGTCTCCCCAGCTAGAATATAAGCACCACGAGGGCAGAAATTTTTGTCTGTCTTGCTCACTGCTGTGTCCCCAGCACCTAGAACAGAAATTTGGCACATAGTAGATAAACAATAAGCATTTGTTGGATGAGGGAATAAGCTTTCTTGATTCAGTAAGCATTAGGAAATCACAGAATGTTTTTGAGCAGGACAGTGATGGGACTGGAGCTCACAGAGGGCTGTAGAATAGATTGGAGTGGGGCTGAAAGCTGGGAGTTGGGAGGTAGTCACTATAGCAGAAGGGCACATATGTGAAAGTTTAAACAGAAGGCTTTCATAGGAACAGGAGACAATATGTTTCAAAAGGGTGGGGATTCTTCTGGTGTATAGTGCTCAATAAAGATTTACTGAAGGGTGAATGAAGGAATGATGTTTGTGTCTCATGTCAGGTAGACCCAGGGCCCTGGTCTTGGTCTGTCTTAGAAAAACCAAAATCCTATTTGCTCCTGACTTTGGGGCTCTCCTGGTCAGGGGTTACATGAGATTGTTATTGAAAATCTCTTATTTATATATACATCTCCCCTTTCTTCTTTGACTGGGCTAACCCTCTGTAGCATCTAGCCACTTCTTAGGCCCAAGCTTAGCTTGGACAAAGCTGAGATTCAAGCTGTAGAAATTGAGGTGGGGTTTAGGCTGTCAGTGTCTGGGGCAGGGACCAGATAGAATCACCTTTTTGAATGTTATGCAACTGGAATTTTAGGCAATGTGGAGAAATTAGTGTGGCAGGTAGTCCTTAGGCCTTCCCTGGCCAGTCCAGAGCCACTCAAGAGAGTGGAACTCCCCATGGAAACCATCTTTACCTTTTTCCACAGAAGGCCAGGGTAATTGGATAGGAGGCCAGTATAGGTTGAGGCTGAGCATTGGACTACATGAAGAGAACATTCTGACAGTGGAGGGGTGAAGGGTGGGGCTGCTACTTGGTCAAAGAACTTCTGGTTTCTACCCTGTCTTCCCTGTCCCTTAGCCATATCTCCTCAAGGGAATTCTTCACTAGGCTCTGAGAGTCACACTTGGGCCTTGCTCTTAATCCAATCAGCAGAGAAGAGATACTTTGTGTCCTCGCTGTCCCAAGAACAAATACACAGTAACACTGCAGGTTTTAATTAAGTGAATACCAGGTGCCCTGAACTGTGCCACATCCTTGCCTAGAGTTGGGGAGGGGGATGCAGCAATAGAGAAGAATGATATTTTCTAAGATGTGGTATTGTTTTATTTATTTCATTGAATCCTATTGTCAATCCCATGAAATAGGCAGCATTCTCATTTAGGAGGTGAGTAAACTGAGGCTCAGACTGCCTGGACAGTTAGGAAATGAGAGACGGGAAACTGGAGACAAATTTTGACTCATTCCAAATCACAGTTAGTTTTTCTGATGCAGCTCTGCTGTCATGGAGTGCCAGAGAATAGTCTGACACCCAGGTCTCCTGACTCCCCAAGTGCTCTTTCTTCTTTCTTGAAAACAAGTAATGATAATATTTTCGTTAAATAGTATATAAATCTGCTTTAAGATTTAACCAAATAGGACTGAAAGCTTTATAACCAAATCATCAGCCCCCACACACATCCTATTTTTGTTGAAATAATATTTTGTCTCCTATTATTTTTGTTGAGCTCTCTCATCCATTCTTATCTCGACTCTCATGCTTTTTGTCATCTCTTAACCTTATAGATTAATATGTTTTAAAAAAATTCCTTCACTGTCATTGATCACCTGAGGTGATCTGGGGTGGTGGGGGGTGGGAGAAGAGAAAAGCACATTTGGTTAATCACTCATATTGAACAGGAATCCAGCTTCTTGCCACACTGCTCCCCGAAGATTCTGTACTCCTGGAGTCTTCATTTTCTGAAATCGACACATTGTCCAGTGCTCTGTAGCTCAAACTGAGCCTAACACTCTGCTAGTTCCTGTCTGGCCTGCACCTTGCTGCCCTTAGGGCTTGACTGAAGCCTGGAGAGAATTATCTACACAAAGGAAACAAAGAGCAGATAACAGCAGTGATGGTCGCTCCATCTGCACAGCACTCCACCTGTTTCAGAGAGCGTCCATATCCACTATCTCATTTCAAAGCAGCATAGAGTCACAGGATAGGTTGTTTGGTGCTGACCATGAAGCCAAAATCCGGCCACTGTTTTGTCTCAATGGGGAAGCAGCTTTGAATCAGAACTCTGAACTCTCACATTCATGGTGGTTGTAGTTTCTTCAGCTCTTTTGTCTGCAGAGCCAATGAGAAAGCTCTCCATGCTGGGGAAGATGGGAAGTGGACCCTCAAGCTTTGGAATGAATGGGCAGAAGAATGAAGGGAGGGCCCCAAGGGGGAGCTTACTTCCAAATAATTTCCTGGGCTTTGCTTTTCCTCCTTCGCCTCCCATAGAGATCCAAGTTTGGAATAAAAAAAACTGCTTCTTTGAGAACACTTTCCAGTGCTCAGCTTGCTTCAAGGATAAAAAGGGTCTTCTAACTATGGAAAGACTCAGAAGATGTTCTGAACACTTTGGTGGAGAATTCTTCTAGAGTCCAAAGCCAAAGTCTGTGCCATTGCTTGGATTGGAAAGTGAGATTCTTTTATGCTTCCTGCCATCTTGGTGATTCTAGAATTTGGAGGCCATTATAGAGTGCAACAACCAGAGTGCATTCAGTTTAGGCTGTGGCTTAGGCAATGTGTTAGGATCACCTGTGGCCCTGATGCTTTAAGATACTTGGATGGAGACAGAGATAAGCCAGGGCCAAGAGAAAAGTGAGGGTAGACCTGATGGGCTCCAGAATGCCTTCCAGAAGGAAGGTTGGAGTCTGATTTCCTTTGAAAGCACAGAATTGGATTGTTTAGTGCAATGTCCCTACCTGACTCTTTAGCAACTCCACCAAAGGTGCACAGCTTCTTTGCTATCACCAACTCCAGTAACACTAAACTCTCCACTGTATGGAGCCTTTGGGAGGAGTCCCAGTTGCCACGCTTTCTGCTCTGCCAAGAAGAGAGTGGGATTTGGGTTCATGGTTTTATTGTCACATGTCTGATATTGTAGAGTTTAAAGTCTCTGGGTGGAAAAAGAAACTCTTTCCTACCAAATGAGAGCTGACTGGGAACAGGAGAGGGGAATTCCCTCATTCCCTGTGGCTGTGAATCAGGGCCCCCGTGCTGAAATGTACGTCCCACTACCTGAAACTCAGACTCACTAGTGAGTCAGCAATGCCGCACCTGATTATCAATGGAGGGCAAAATGATGGGAGCATTGCAGGCCCAGGGCATGTTGGGAATGACTGAATCCTGAAGAGGCTCTTTTGAGAATACAGAAGAACTGATTCCTCAAGAGCTTGTGGAAAGACTCACAAGATGTTCTTATTCCCCAGATCAAGCAGATGAGGCGTGTATCAGAATAGAAGACATCAGGGTGGCCTATTGTCAGGGCTTGTTGCCTGCAGAGCCGGGGAGTTCCTCCTGATCTCTACCTTAATTCCACCTGCTTTACCCCCTTTCATTAATTCTTCAGTTGAGTGACATGAGAGTAGGGACTTGGTTTTGTTTATGGCAATATCAACAATATCAACAGTACCTAGATCCATGGGTGATTTTTTTTTTTTTTTTTTTTGAGATGGAGTTTCCCTCTTGTTGCTCAGGCTGGAGTGCAATTGTGCAATCTCGGCTCACCGCAACCTCCACTTCCTGGGTTCAGGCAATTCTCCTGCCTCAGCCTCCCGAGTAGCTGGGATTACAGGCATGCGCCACCAAGCCTGGCTAATTTTGTATTTTTAGTAGAGTTGACCATATTGGTCGGTCCGGTCTCCAGCTCCTGACCTCAGGTGATCTGCCCGCCTCAGCCTCTCAAAGTGCTGGGATTACAGGTGTGAGCGATTGCACCTGGCGATTTTTTTTTTTAAATCGTTAACAGCCAGTGCAGAACAGGTCAGAATAGACTTTGGCTGCGGAGCTGAGCAGGGGTCCAAGTGGATAGAGCCCCGGGTTTGTGTTCTAGTCTTGGTTTGTGGCTAATATGCCATGTGACCTTGAGTAAATCACTTGACCTCGCTGGGCCGCAGTTTTCTCATCTATGAAAAGGGAGAATTTAGACTAGAAGTTGCAATCAGATGCCTACAGGGTCAGGCAATTAAAGTAAATTAGTGAGCTCAATAGAGTGAGTTTGTATTGGCTGTAACGTGTAGACTCCCTCTAAATGGGCAACTGTTGCCAGGTAGAACTGCTGGTAGAGCATCCAGGGCACTTGACTCTTTAAGAGATGCTGAGAATTTTGATGTTTATGTGATACCTCCTGATATTTAAAATACTGTGTGGGTAAAAACTGGCTAAGTCAGTTTTAGTCTTGATCTAGATAGTCCAGAAGAACCCTCCCAGCTTGAGTTTTCTGATTCCAAAATATATGTCTTCTAAAGAAGGTCCTTAAGACATCCCCTTAGTCATGGGAATTTCAGCTGGTGCAAAAGTGAGTGCCTGTGTGTGGGCTCATACTTGTATGCCACTGGGGTTTTGACTCCCCTCAAATGACACTCTCCCAATGGCCTTACCCCTCATCCCTCTCATACACCTGCAGTGGAGCTTGTTTGGTCCCCAGAGCCCAGCCCTGGGCCAGATGGAAGATGCTGTTTGTCTAGTGAGCTCATCAGCAGTAAACAGCTAGCTGTGCTGATGAGCTTGCCCTTCCCCCAGTGAAGGGAAGAGTGGCCACAGGGCAGTGGTTGAGACAGAGGCTGGCTGAGTCAGGCCTTGGGGCCTTGCTGCCTTCCCAGGCCTTTGCTGGCTACATTCCAAAGCTAAATTGGGACTTGGAATCATGCCTACATTATTATCAATCTGGGGCTCTTCAACACACTTGTATGAGTATGCTAGGGCTACCATAACAATGTACCTCAGAGTGGGTGGCTTGAACAACAGAAATTTTTTGTTTCATAGTTCTGGAGTTTAAAAGTCTAAAATCAAGGGTCTGAGGGATGTGAAAAAAAAAAAAAAAAAAAGAGCTCTATTCCAGGTATCTCTCCTTGGGTTGCAGCTAGCTGTCTTCTCTTTATGTCTCTTCATATCACCTTCCCTCTGTGGGTATCTGCCTCTGTGTCCAAATCTCCTCCTTTTATAAGGACACCATTCATATTGGATTCAGGCTCACCCTAATAACCACGTTTTAACTTGATTACCTCCATAAGGATCCTGTCTCCCAATAAGGTCATATTCTGACATCTGGCTGTGGTTGCAGTGGGGGTGGTCAGGACTTCAAAATACAAATACAAATTTTTTTGTATGTGGGTGACAGTTCAACTCATTGTACCACTCCTCCACAGTTTCTCACTCATTACTTTAAACACCAAAACCTAAGTGACCTGCGCATGCCCCATTTCACCTACGACAGCTCAGTGGTTGAGGGTGGGGGATTTTTAAAAGTCTCATTTACTGTTGCACAGCCTCCTGCAAACCGGTCCTCTAGATAGATGAGGAAGGTGAGGGCAATCTCATCAAGCACCTGTTAGGGTACATGCAGGACTTGAATTTCAGGTAATAACAAGGAATGCCTTCTTGTTCTCTGACGCACTGTCTATATGGTATTTTTAATCTTTATGCCAATAATAATTGCAAGTACATATAAAGCACTTGATAAGTGCTAAATATTGTTGCAAGCAGTTTACATGTAGTTATTGAATTCCCACAATACCCCTGAGGTAGGTACTATTACTAACCTCTTTCTACAGATAAGACACCAGGGCCTAAAAAGCTTAAGAAACTTTCCCAAGTCTGTAGTAACTGATGGAGTTGGGGTCTAAACCCCAATAGTTGGCTCCAGAGGCTATGCTTTTACTCATTACACGATAGTGATCAGAGGAAGCAGGAACTCCAGTCTGGGCAACATAGTCAGACCCTGTCTCTAAAAAAAAAAAAAAAAAATTAGCCGGGCATGGTGACCCATGCCTATATTTCCAGTTACTTGGGAGGGTGAGGTGGGATAATTGCTTGAGCCCAGGAGGTTGAGCTATGATTGTGCCACTGCATTCTAGCCTGGATGACAGAGCCAGACCCTGCCTAAAAAAAAAAAAAAAAAAAAAAAAAGGAATTGAACTGGGTGCCAGTGCCTGTAATCCCAGCACTTTGCGAGGCTGAGGCGGATCCCTTGAGCCCAGGTGTTGCAGACCAGACTGTGTAACTTAATAGCAAGACCCCATCTCCAAAAAAAAAAAAAAAAAAAAAGGAAGAAAAAAGAAAGAGAAAAAAGCAAACAACAACAAAAAAGAAGGAAGGAATTATTATTCTCATTGAAGAGATGAGGAAACTGAAACCAAGAAGCCAAGAAGCTAAGTAACTTACCCAGGGTCACACGGGTAAGAGGCAGAGTAAAGGTAGAATTCTAGTCCTGAAAGCCTATGGCTTCTCCCAGACAGGACCAAGTGTCCTGGTTCTCTTCTTCATGTGCAACTCCACTTACACAGGCCCACGAGTAGTAGGGCCAACCCAGAATCTCAAAACCCTTATTTGTGCTTAACTGTCTGCATACTGCAGGGTAATTATGGGCCGTGAAGGAGGGAGGCACCCTCTCGACTTAGATCTGAACTCCCAGTCGCTTCCAGTTCCCAGGACCACCAGCCCTGAGCCGTAAGGCTAGGCCTGAATCTGGGACTTTCTTAGCCGGAGTTAGAAGCGGAGGAGTAGGGTGGGACGCTGGACGGACGCCGCTGGGCCGGGCAGCCCAGAAACGCGGAGTGTCATATTTCTTGCAACTCGCCAATCCCGAACGCCGGGGGGCGTGGCCACACCTGGGAGGCGTGGCCGGGCGGATGCGAAGGCTGCGGCGTCCTGGGGCGAGGCGCTGACGTGAGCTCGGCGCACCTGGGCTGGGCAGGTAAGGGCTGGTGCGGGACGGGGAGAGGAACCTGCAGTCCCTACTTGGGTAGAGCCAGGCGCCCCTTGGCTAAGACGTCGAGGAGCGTGGTAGCGACGGGTGATCTTCGCTGCGGACTTGGTTCGGAGGGACGTCCGCTTCTGGTGGACAGATTGAGCAAAGGTGGGTACGCCAACTTCTGGGGACCAGCTTGAGGGAGGAGAGGCTCCCCCGTGGGTGGGGTAGGACCCATCCCCGGAGTTTGTAGGGGGTGAGAGAACTTGCTTGGGGGCATCTGTGTGTTTGGGGTGGGTACCCACTGGGGCTGGGTGCCTGTCGCCCTTTTCCAGATAGCTTTGGGGCGGCCTCAGTTCTGTAGCGCTAGGCCCCTCTCGAATCTACACTTGTGTCTACTCTCCCTACCCCCACCGCCGAAGCGGAGGGCACTGCTCTCGGCCGTCAACAACCCCACTATCCGGTAGAGCTAAAGCACCGCGCCCCCTTCAGTCTTACCAACTTGCGGCTGGCCCCTGTGTCCCAGAGAGGGGACTTCCCAGGTCCGCAGGTCCTTGATCCTAGTGGGCGTTTTGGGAAACTGGAGTGAGGGTGGCCAGGAGCTTTGGAGCATTGGCGGTTTGTCTTCCCTCCCTGAGTCTGTTTGGCACAGTTAGGCCCTTCGCCCTGGGCCTGGGAGACAACCTTGGATTTCCAAGGAGCGGAGCTAGGTGCTGGGGAGGGTGGCGCTGGGGTGTGGTTGCTCTGGGGGTGGGCCCTCTTTGCCCGAAGGGGCTGGAGGGTGGTGTGGAGAATGGGGAAAGTCTCCCAGGCCTGACTTGGAAAGGAGGCCTGAGGTGTCACTCTTTACAGGGAGCCTGCTTTGTGGTAAAGGGGTCATCCTGTTCCAACCTGTTCTCTTGGTGGATGTCAAGAGTGGAAGTCAGGGAAAAGAGATGGATAGAGAGAGGAAGGCGCTTGGGTGGGATTGGTGAAAGCTGGTGTTGACCCAGGAGTGTGGTTTAGGATGAGACGTGTGTATGATGTATGACAGTGGCACTCAATACCTTGTAACTCCCATTCGCCATCCCCCAGCTTCCATCCAGCAGAAGGGAAGGGTGTGGGCATTTTGACTAGAGGCCTGCAGTTTACCCCTAAGCAGGGCTAAACAGGGAAGCCTGAGGAACGGAACTTAGACGATGGCATTTCATTTCTTTCAGGAGAAAGGGAAGAGCTGGGACTGCTAAGAATTGTCTGCGAGAAATGGCGTGTGTTTTAACCTGAGCAAAACCACTGACGGCCAAATCTCGGCTTTTGTGTGGCAGTGCCCCTGGAAACTAGTCTGGGGAGGAGCTATGGAGGTGGCAATGAGGGTGTTTATGGAGGACCTGCTCCCTAGAATAGGGGTATGGGAGAGGACAGTTATGCTCGGAGGAGGCTGAAAGTGTCCCTCCTCTATGCTCACTGTGAGGGGAATAGATAGGTTAGCATCATTGTCCTTTGGCTGTTTAAGTACCTGTTAGAGACACAGGCCTTACATTTTGCTGTGATGGCAGCTAGAGATACCAAGATGAGTTCAACTAGGCTAAGGTGGTTCTTCAGGCGTTGGGATTTGGGTGGCAAGAGTGTTTAGAAAGAGAACTCTGATTTAGGTGTGTTTGAGAGTGGATGTTATGCAGTCTCCACCTCAATCACTTTATTGGCCCTCTATGCTGCTGGGATCTTTGTTGATGTTTTTAGTTTACTTTCTTGGTGCGCAGAAGATGAGAGGGACATGGAAGACAAGGTGCAGTGGCAGGGTTTGGTACAGAACACTGTGACTTAGGAAATAAAGCACCTCAGCCCAGATGTAAAATGGGGATAGTAATATCACATTCAGGTTTATGAGGATGAAATCAGACATGTTAGGTAAAGGTTCATGTAAAAATTGTAAAGCCTACACAGATACAAAGGATTGTTGTTACCATCCTTCATAAGAAATGTCTTATTGTCCTGAGGTTAAGAAAAAATTACTTGTAGTTTTTTAAATTATAAATTGAAACATATCATTGTAGGAAAATATGAATCATATATAATGTATATGGGAGAATGTAAAAAGCACCCATAGTTGCATCACTAGATAACCATTACAAATATTTTGTTGCATTGTTGTATTTATTTCCTTTTTTCAGTTCTGTGTGTATGTGCACATGTATGCAAGTATATGCTGTGTTACAAGATGGAGATAGTGCTACACAGTCAAGTTGTATGCTGTTTCCCCCTGCCCCCACAACTTCATATTGTAAACATTTCCTTGAGTATAATACAAATTCTGACACCTGTTGTTAATGGCTACTTAATATTGCAGCCTGTGGTTGTGACGTAATGAATGTTTCTGTCTTGGCCATTTGGGTTTTCAATTGTTCCATCTCTGCCTGTTTTTAGACTTGTAGTTACTGGGTGGTGAGTGGGGGAGATCTTGGCTGACTTTCAGAAGGTGGAGAGGGTTTACAGTGAGAGAGGCAGGGCATGGGCTTGGAGGAGGGCAGGCTGGGGCTCCTTCCATGGGGCTGAGGCAAGGCTGCTCTTGTGTAGTCCCATCTTAGGAGAACACTGAGAACCCAGGGCTCTAGATCTTAATCACTGATTTCTGTGGGTGGCTGCTTCTCCTTTCCCATCATCAGGTGCAGCTCCTGGTCTTGGCCTGATTGCCTTAATTTTTGCATGGTGGGATTTGGATCAACTACAATAAGTCCTTTTGGACTTTTCTTCCAGTCCACTATCAGTCAAGAGTTGGATTTTAATGTCTGACAGGCCCAAACACAGCACTTACCAGTATTGCAATGGAAATTCTCAAAAGCTCTTTACTAGATTGACTGGTTTGGTGCCTATTTCCCTATCCTCTTTTTCCTTCTCTTGCTCCATCCCCCTTTCAGTAGTGATAGGACTGGGGAGCAGAAGGTAGAACTAGCCGTTGAGAGAATATGCATCCCCTCCTCCTTATAAGGCTTATAATGCACTCCATGGTTTGATGGTTTCACATGCTGCCCTACAAAACACCGTAATTCAAGGCCAACTACATGGGGGTACTTGAACACTGCGTGCCAACCTGACCTACCCACTATGCTCCCAGGGGGAAGGTTTCAGTTGCAGGACTTGGTAATTGGGTCAGAAAGCTCAGGTGAGAGCAGGTCTTGCCTTGCTCTTAAAGTGCCAGACGCTGAGTTGGGTTTGGGTTTTTCACATTTGTTGGGAGTCTGGCTGGGGAGAGAAGTGGTGTTATGGGCCACCCCGTCAGCTAAGCTCTTCTGAGTAGGAGCCTTCAGCTGACCCTTTTAACCTCTTTTCTTTCCCACCTGGCACAGTTTATTCCCATATTTAGCTGCTTTGCTGTAAGGTTGTTTGGTTTCAGAACTGTGGTCCAGGTAGGGATCTTTCTGGGTATGAAGGTGACCTATTTATCTTCCCCTCCTTCTCAGGCCATTGTGGGGCTTGAGAAGTTCCAGTGTGGAGTTTCTCAAGAAGGAACATGGAGCGTCAGTGTTTAGTAACTAACACCGTGCTTGGCACACAGTAGCTGATGAACAAATATTTGTTGAATGAGTGTTCTTTTTCCAGGCATCTCATTCTCATCTTAAGTAAAAACAAAATAAGAACACCAAAAAATCCAAACACAACATCTCAGACAAACAATTCTCCAGTGACTGTTTTTTTATCAGTCACCCAATCTGGGAAGGCTTTTGTTTTCTGCTGTGAGTGCCAGCTGCTCTTGAATGTTATCTGCTATGCCCATGTATTTTTACAAGAATCAATTGCAGACTTTACCCATGCTGGCTCCTGCAACCAATTGGTTCACTCCAGCCTTCACTGGGAGATAAACAGACCCAAGGGAGGAGGCTGTCCTAGCCATGCAAAGCTTGTCTCATGACTGCTTTTAGTACTCTAAGTACTCTTAGTACTTTAGTATTTGGTTATTCTAGGGCTTCTGAGCTTTACCAGACTCAGTAGTGGAGACGTGTTCTCAGCCTTTGTCGCCAGTGTTCCCAAGCCTTCTCCCAGACACTGGATTGTTGTATGGATAGCCAGCTGAGACCCCTCCTTTTCTCCATACAGAATCTTTGAGCGGTCAAGGGAAAGACAAGCCGACTCTTCAGATCCCTGTGGACACACTGCCTGCTCTTCCATGTAAGTGAGGACTCTGGAGTCCAGGATCTACCCCTTATCTACTTCTCCCTCATCATGGTGGTGTCATTTATTTCTAAAATATTCCCATTCACCTTTAGTTGTCTTGTTTAAAAAGAGAACATGTGTCACCTTCTCACTTATATAGTTGTTGCTGTTTCCATAACTTTTTTCTTCCCTCTCCTGAGATGAGATTGAAAAGAGCAATTTTCCTTCTCTTCCAAAGCCCTTGGTGCTTCAGGAAGGACTGTGTTCCAGCAGGATGACATCACCTTTTTATTTTTCTGCTTCAGGATTTAAATAGAAGAAATGTGATCTACTTAGCTGATAAGTCTGATTTGGCTAGAGCATGAAGTGTAAATGGCTTTGGAATCAGAATAAAAAGGACCTTTTAACCTCTTTTCTTTCCCACCTGGCACAGCTTATTCCCATATTTAGTTTCTTTGCTGTAATCTAGTGAAACTGTAGCTCTAGTAGATGGGAAAGGTGGCTGGGAAGGGTTCCCAGTGGCTGGCCTAATTCTTCTGCTCTTCCCATTTCTCCCTCTGACCCCCCCAGATCATGGCCCTCCACCCCCGCAGAGTCCGGCTAAAGCCCTGGCTGGTGGCCCAGGTGGATAGTGGCCTCTACCCTGGGCTCATCTGGCTACACAGGGACTCTAAACGCTTCCAGATTCCCTGGAAACATGCCACCCGGCATAGCCCTCAACAAGAAGAGGAAAATACCATTTTTAAGGTAAAGGACTTCTTCTACCATCAGACCTTTCTGGATTTTTTTTTTTTTTTTTTTTTGGCATGGGGAATACACTAGATCTAAAACTCTGGTGAAACAGAGAGAATGCTTATGATGGGGGTGCCCAAACTCAGCAGGCATAGTAATTCCTCTTTTGGGGGCATGTCTGCAATGGTTGAAGCCGTTTATTCTTTCCCACTCATTGAAGGTACTCACTCACATCCCAAAGGATACCAGCTGGGGTTGGCTAAAACTCTCATTAGTGATTGTAGTGATGTGTTTGTTTCAAAAGCTAGCGAGGGTCAGCAGTTGACTCTTCCTCCTCAATAACTCAGAGCTCTTGCTATGCAGAGAGTTGCTTGGGCCTGGGAATGGATACTCAGACCAGGACAGAACTATCAGGTGTTAGCAGGCACGCAGTATAGCCTATGTGATTGGTATAGAGGGCTCTCAGCAAGTTTTTCTTTCTTTTTCTTTTTTTGTGGGATATGGTCTTGCTCTGTCAACCAGGCTGGAGTGCAAGTGGCATGATCATAGCTCACTGCAGCCCTGACCTCCTAGGCTCAAGCGATCCTCCCGCCTCAACCTCCCACGTAGCTGGAACTATAAGCACACACCACCACGCCTGGCTAATTTTTGTATTTTTTCTGTAGAGACGGGGTTTCACCATGTTGCCCAGGCTGGTCTTGAACTCCTGGGGTCAAGTGATCCTCCCTCCTTAGCCTCCCAGAGTGTTCAGATTACAGGCATAAGCCACTGCACCTGGCAAGCTTTTCTTTTGAGTTAAAATATTTCGCCCCATCTATAACTGGGGCTTAAAAATCAAAGGTGATTTAATTACAAGTTTTAATTTTTTAAATGGTTTTAAAAATAAGAAATAGCACTGATATGACAGTCATTTTATTTAACTGAAAACAAGATTTAATCACATAGCATTTTACAAAATTTAAGTGAAACCAAAGCTTGACTTAAGACAGAAGTAGGTGGACAGGCTTGTTGTGGGAAAGGTTTTCACATGGTTTGAAACCCTGGAGGCTACGTCTCTGCTCCACACCAGCTTCTTTCTTGGTCACTTCCATCTCATGAGTAGCTTTAGTTCCTGCATCCCAAGACACTGAGAAGTTAGTTTTGTTTGCCCTTTTCTTCTTTGAGTATAAGCTAGAAGTCACAAGTGAAATACAGTCTCTACTGTGGGTCTCTCAAGATTCATGCTTTGGGTCCTTGCTGAAATTGGGTTGGGAAAGGGCAGAAAATGTAAGCGCAGGGTTCAAAAGAAAGCCATCCTTAGGATGTTTCCCACCCAACTCAGTTATGTCAGGTGTAGAGAGGACAGGCAGAGAGAATATTGACCTGAAGGTACTTAGAAGGTATTTAGAAAATCTAAATCTTAATTTAGATTTTAAATAACAATATAAAAGTTGATAAGGTTAGTACCTATAAACCAGCACCAATTATTGGAGTTGGCATTGAGAAGGGCACGGGCCCATCTTGGCCCATTTGGCCTCTTGTGGCCATGGTCTGAAACTGGATTTGCTGTTCAAGTGTCTGACAGTGGCTGGCCCTGGGGAAGAGGCTATTTCCTGAAAGCCCTACTCATGAGAGTGATGCTTTGGGCTTGCATGCTTGGGGCTTGAGGAAAATTGGGCTGTGGGGAGGTGGCTTTGTTTTAGTTATATCTGTGCATCTGTTTGCAGAGTGCAGGGGGAGGGTGCTTTCACAGATACCAAGCTCTGATGGCCTTTAGCAGAATATGCAGCTGGGGCACTAACATTAAATGGGTGTCTGTGTCCATTATCTCTTTTAATTCTCGTGACAACCCTGTAAGGGAGGTATTACCTTCATGTTGTTGATACAGAAGCCAAGTCTTAGAGGGGCTGAATAACTTGCCAAAGTCACACAGCCAGTAAGTGGTGGGGGTAGGATTTGAACCCATGACTTTCTGTCTGCATCCCACCCCCCATTATACTGCCCTTTCTGATCAAGAACTGGAAGACCTGGCCTCAAATTCTACTACCGTCAACTGCATGTGTAGCCCTGAGCAAGTTAACCTCTCTGGGCTTCAGCTCTCCCTTTGGTAAAATGGGGATGAAATTAGTCTTGCCTGTGAGAATCAAGTGAAATAAAGTATGGAAAGGGATTTGTAAAGCACTATAAAAATGCAGAGATTATTTCCTCTTTAGAAAGAGAAATAAGGACCTGCACAGTGATCAGAATCTCTTGCTAGCAAGACTCAGAATGGGTTTGAACAAGTGATGTTTATAAATCACAATGATTGCCACATGGTTCCTCCTAGGCTCTCCTTTCTTGATTCTTTTTTTTTTTTTTTTTTTTTTTGAGACAGAGTCTTGCTCTGTCACCCAGACTGGAGTGCAGTGGCGCGATCTTGGCTCACTGCAAACTCCGCCTCCCGGGTTCAAGCGATTCTCCTGCCTCAGCCTCCCAAGTAGCTGGGATTACAGGTGTGCACCACCATGCCCAGATAATTTTTGTATTTTTAGTAGAGACGGGGTTTCACCACGTTGGCCAGGATGGTCTCAATCTCTTGACCTCATGATCCACCCACCTCAGCCTCCCAAAGTGCTGGGATTACAGGCATGAGCCACCGCGCCTGGCCTCCTTTCTTGATTCTAAAGTTCCAGTCTTAAACGATACGGCTCTTCACTGCATCAGCCTTGGGTGCCCAGTGCAATCTGGGTGGGTCCTGGGGATGGCTGTGTGGTGAGCAGGAAGGCTGGGGCTCTGGTTCTGGGTTGGTCTGGCTGCTCTCCATGGAGGAGCAGGGATTTAGGGAACCACAGAAATGTGCAGAGCTCTGCCAAAGTCTTCATAGCCCGAGTCAGCTGGGTGGGGCCAGAGTTAGCGTGGGCACACAGAGGATCAAACAAATGGAAGGGAAAATTTGGGGAGGCAGCAGCCAGGTACTGCCAGGTAATTGGAGATAGGCCTTCCAGATACCAGCGACCAGTGAAGTTGAAATCTCCCGTAGGGGGTTGGATAGAATGGAGCAGCAGTTAGGCCCCCTAGTGTCTGCTCAGCCACCTGGGGCAGCAGAATGTTGTCAAACTTCTTCATTCCATACCACAATCAAATGGAGGGACCCAAATCTGAAAAGATGGTAAGAGGAAGTGATCTGAATTGGAGGAGGAGGATTTAGATTAGCTTTTGAGGAAACTTCCTCATGCCTGTGAGGTTCTTCAGGGGGCGACTGAAGGAGATCAGAGCTCTCAAAGGATGGGGCAGAAAAATTCAATTTCAGCTTGAGGAAGAAGCCTATGATCAGAATCAGAGGAAGGGATTGGGTTTGGACAAATCATATACACTGTTGGCTTGAAAACGTTGGTGTGTGCTTCCTGTCTTGAGCTGTCTGCTAATGGTACCTACTTTTTCGGCATCAGAACAAGTTGTACTCCTGCACAAAGAGATCAGAGAACTTGTTAGCAATGGGGGAGAGTGGCTATCCCATTGCAGAAACAAGAATGCCTGTTAGAGCTGAAAGTAGGGCCAGGTGTCTACTCCCTGCTTTGCTCCTGAGCACCTTGGTCTATGACTTGAGCGGCTTAGATTTTTCCTTTCCTCATTAGGGAGGCTAACTTCTTCTTGTCTGGGGAAAGTGCTGTGAGTTTCCATATTTGAAAACCAGAGAGAAGGAGTCGAAGTGGTTTTAGTCCGTGCTGCCAGCCACTGGTGTGGTTGACAGCATGATGTTTCTAATGAAGCAGAAGTTTGAGGGGATAGGGTAAGGTAAGGGGTGTGGATTTTTTAGGACTTGAGGCCCTCAGCCAGAGGGACAAGCTGAACCCCCAGTGTGTTTCCTTCCCTCCTAAAGGCACTTGGTTTCTACAATTCTTTTTTTTTTTTTTTTTTTTTTTTTTGAGATGAAGTTTTACTCTTGTTGCCCAGGCTCGGGTGCAATGGCACGATCTTGGCTCACTACAATCTCCACCTCCCGGGTTCAAGTGATTCTCCTGCCTCAGCCTCCCGAGTAGCTGGGATAATAGGCATGCACCACCATGCCCGGCTAATTTTGTATTTTTAGTAGAGACAGAGTTTCTCCGCGTTGGTCAGGCTGGTCTCAAACTCCTGACCTCGTGATCCACCCGGCTTGGCCTCCCAAAGTGCTGGGATTACAGGCATGAGCCCCTGCACCCAGGTTACAATTCTTTATTTATGTATTAGATTGAAGACTGACAGGAGGGAACACAGGAGGCCAAACTCTTCATATCCTCTGCCATCCCTCTTTGTCTTACCTATTGTCGTATAAGCAACTCATGTCAAAAATGAATAAGCAAAGAAAAAAAGTTACTTGAAATTCTGCTATCCAGAGTTACCATCTGCACTTTGGTGCATATTTTCAGCAGGCTTTATCTTCAGCCCTTCATTAGAGCATTGTCGTCTTGATGAGTGCCGGTACCAGTGCTTGAGATAAGGTTCCTCCTTTTAATATATTGTGTTTGCACATGGCTTTATTTCCCTTAGGCACCTGTCTTGCCTGGTCCTAAGGGCAGTGTTTCCTGCTGCAGTCTCTGTAAATCGGGGTTGGGATGATGGGGCAGTCATGCAAAAGTTGTGTGTGTGTGTGTGTGTGTGTGTGTGTGTGTGTGTGTGTGTTTGTGTCTATGAGAAAGGGTAAGCACATGCTTTGCAGTGGCTCTGGGCAATGATAGGACTCACTGTGGTTTCTTGTTCTCAGGCCTGGGCTGTAGAGACAGGGAAGTACCAGGAAGGGGTGGATGACCCTGACCCAGCTAAATGGAAGGCCCAGCTGCGCTGTGCTCTCAATAAGAGCAGAGAATTCAACCTGATGTATGATGGCACCAAGGAGGTGCCCATGAACCCAGTGAAGATATATCAAGTGTGTGACATCCCTCAGCCCCAGGGCTCGATCATTAACCCAGGTGAGGCCCCAGGTGCTGGGGAGAAGGTGGGCAGCATGCCAGATTCTGGGCTGCACTCTTAAGAGATAGTCAACTTGAAAACAGCCTGATTTACACAGTTTAAGATGGATAAAGCAAGAAAGCCTTTCTCTGGGAAGGACCCAGAAAACAAAAGATGCAGACTCAGCAAAATCTTGCTTACTTAGGGGAATGTTTTTTAACCTGGTTACTTAAAGCATTAGAAAGTGGAGGGGTATACAGTTCTACTGTAAAAGTAGCCTCTTTTGGGATTCAAGAGGCCAGGTAGTTTTGAAGGAGAAGGGATTAAAGCTTAAAAGGTTTGCGTTCTAAACCTGGCCCTTATCACTTTACTACTTGTGGGACTTGAATCAAGTCATTTTACCTCTTGTAAGCCTCAGTTTCTTCAACTCTAAAATATGGGATCTCAGCTTTCCTATTTACTTCAAAAGCTAGTGTGAGAATCAATTAACATGATCTGTAAAAAAAAATTAACATGATCTGTTAAAAAAATTTTTTAATTGACAAATAATAATTGTACATATTCGTTGGGTATATAGTGATGTTTTGGTACATATAATAGTGACAAGATCAGGGTAATAAGTTCTTTATACATATTGGGTGACTGATCGTTTAATTCATAGGATACTTTGACTAAGAGAATATCTCCTGATCCCTCCAATTAACTGCATACTTAACAAGTACTAACAGCCAGATAATTTAGATATGTGCTCCAGTGAATCTAGGGAGGTCCTTCCATGAGAGAAGTGTTCATTCCCTTGATTCTCACTCTTTTTAGCTAGGACATTGAGGGTGTGTACTGAACCTGAGGAGCCTCTGGGCTAGCAGTCCCTAGCTTGAATGGTGGGTCAGCTGCAGGGGTGGCAGTGCAACCTGAATGGCTCACCTGCGAGCTTGTGTATCTTGGGTAGGATCCACAGGGTCTGCTCCCTGGGATGAGAAGGATAATGATGTGGATGAAGAAGATGAGGAAGATGAGCTGGATCAGTCGCAGCACCATGTTCCCATCCAGGACACCTTCCCCTTCCTGAACATCAATGGTGAGTGGGGATGATGGGTGGTACAGAGACATATGGAGGATGTAAGGAGTTTTGACCTTGGGACTGTCAATACATTGGCCACCACTGCCCTGAAAGCAGGATCAGTCCCTGCAGCCAGACTGCTGGACTGTTAGCAAGTGGGAGTCAGAGGTGAGGAACTCCCTGTTGGCTCAGTTATCCCAGTAGAGTTGGGTGGGTTCCAGGCAATAGAACATCTTTGGAAGCTTATGTGCTAATTCAAAGAAATAAAAAATTTGAATTCATTCTTAACCCAACATACAAATATATCATCAGTTACACATTTTGCCAATTTCCTTCAGGCCAAGTACAGTGTCATTTTTTCGAGTTACGGGCAAACTCTTCTAATATTTCCCTTGGTATAAATTCTGTGTCACTTCCTTCACAAGGACTACTCTGCCTAGGCTGTATCACGGGAAACTTGTGATGTCTGTAGCTGATAGTACTTGGCTCTGATAGGATTTATCTGCAAGAGACTTTTCTTTTATGGGCTTTTGAATCCAGCTTCCTAGGAAAATTGAGTTGGGAGCTTGAGAATTCACCGTGTGACAGAGCAGGTACTGAATCTCCCACTGCGTTTTCTGAGGATACTTGAACACACGTTGAATTGCTCTTTCTGCAGCATCTTTACTTCATTTGTCCACTGAAATGCTCCTACGCAAATGACTTGCATCCAGCCAAGCAGTTTTTCATTGTCTTTTTAGTACCACCTGGCTGCAATGGGTCAAAATGAGATAACTTGTGCCACCTATAAAACTTAGGATAACAAGATGATTTATTTAGTATTTTCAGGTACTCTACCGTAGGTGATGCCTCTACCTTTGAGAATCAGGAAATGACACTTGTCTGTCCACTGGCCCTCCTTCATTTATATCTTTGCAACCAAGTGTGGGTAAAGAGAAGTTTCATAGAGATCTTGCAGGTCAATATTGCCACATGTTCAATGTCACTAATCATTAGAGAAATACAAATCGAAACCACAATGAAATACCATCTCACACCAGTCAGAATGGCTGTTATTGAAGTCAAAAAATAACAGATGCTGATGAAGTTATGGAAAAAAGGGAACACTTATATCCTGCTGGTGGGAATGTAAATTAGTCCAGCCACTGTGGAAAGCAGTTTGGTGATTTCTCAAAGAACTTGAAACAGAATCACCTTTTGGCCCAGCAATCCTATTATTGGGTATATACCCAAAAGAATATAAACTGTTCTACCATAGGGACACATGTACCCATATGTTCATTGCAGTACTTATTCACAATAGCAAAGACATGGAATCAAATTAAATGCCCATCAATGGTGGACTGGATAAAGAAAACGTGGTACATATATACCATGGAATACTATGCAGCCATAAAAAAGAGTAAGATCATGTCTTTTGCAGCAACATGGATGTAGCTGGAGGGCATTATCCTAAGTGAACTAAAACACAGGAACAGAAAACCAAATACTACGTGTTCCCACTCATAAGTGGGAGCTAAACATTGAGTACACATGGACACAAAGAAGGGAACAATAGACACTGGGGCCTCCTTGAGGACGGAGGGTGGGAGGAGGATGAGGATAAAAAAACTACCTATTGGGTACTACGCTTATTAACTAGGTGACGAAATAATCTGTATACCAAACCCCGGGACATGTAATTCACCTATATAACAAACCTGCACATGTATCCCTGAAACTAAAATAAAAGTAAACACAAACAAAAAATTGCCACACGTTACATTCCCGCTTAGTGAAATTGAACATCTAGAAATGTGGGATCCTTTCTCAAATGTCTGGCTGACTCATTCTGTTATTCTCACCCCCTAAAAGGATGCAGTTTATTTCCAGGATCCTGATTTCCTATTTCTGTTGATCTTTTATTAAAGCTAATATTTGTGTGTCCTTATGTTTTGAGCTGCCTTTAATCCTTTTTTGGAAAGTTGTAGAATAGATACTAAAAACAAAAAAGTAAAATGGGAACATAAATTTAACCAGTTCCCATAAATTTAACCAGAGTGCCATTGCACTCCAGTCTGGGTGACAGAATGAGACATGATCTAAAAAAAAGGGTCAAAGAAACATTAATCTTTGTGATTTCAGAGCTGTTGGGGCAGAGGATGAAGAATTGTTGAAGAATAGATGCCTAAGAGGTGAGGCTAGGAGGAGAAATCTGTAGACTTTGGAGCAAGTCAACTTTGACAGTAGCAGGGAAATACTCTTTTTTCTTTTTTTAAACCTTTTAATTGGATCCTTTTGAATAAATAATACTTTCACATGGTTTACATTCATAATGGTACAAAAAGGTAAATCAGTGGAAAGGTTTTCCTTCTATCCTGTCCCTGAACCTTTCATTTCTTTCCCTGGAGGAGTCAGATCCTTCTAGGTTCTTGAGTATCCTTCCAGACATTTTATGCATGTAAAAGTATTTGTTTGTTGTTAAAGGTATTTCTATGCATTAACACTTACTCGAAGCTAATCAGCTAATTTAGCTGAGTTCGTTTTATGGAAGACAACCAGCTTCTATTTAATTGCTGGGGCCAAATTTTACAGTATGGAATGTCTTACTCCTTGTAATTTAACCTCCAGAGAAAACTCACATGTCTATGTTAATCTTCAGCAAACAAAGGTTTTTAAAACTATGAATTTGTGGGAGAAATAATATGACTAGGAAGCAGGAGCAGGGGAACCTTATTTCTTATTGCGTTAGTTATGGGAATCACTGATGGGCTGGAAGATCACACTGGGTCAGGGTTCAGTGTTTGGTTCTTGTCTACTGACCTTGTGAGTTCTCAGAGCATCAGCAAGTGATGTGCACGTGTGGTACCCCTGTCTGCTCACCATATGCTTTTGTTTTAGGTTCTCCCATGGCGCCAGCCAGTGTGGGCAATTGCAGTGTGGGCAACTGCAGCCCGGAGGCAGTGTGGCCCAAAACTGAACCCCTGGAGATGGAAGTACCCCAGGCACCTATACAGCCCTTCTATAGCTCTCCAGAACTGTGGATCAGCTCTCTCCCAAGTAAGTGAGACTTTATCTTTCTTGCTCGGTCTTCTGCTTCTATTATAGACTCTTTCCTGTCCTGCTTTCTAACTTCATTTCTTTGCCATGTATTGAAAAACTACCTGTCTCAGAGGCATCCTCTGTTTCTGTTTCCTGGCTAGCCCATGAGTCACCAGGGAAGAAGTAAAGAAACACTGGCCCAGCTGGGTGTGGTGGCTTACACCTGTAATCCCAGCCCTTTGGAAGGCTGAGGTGGGAGGAGTGCTTGAGGCCAGGAGTTTGAGAATAGCCTTGGCAACATAGTGAGACTCTCTACAAAAAAATTTTTAAAGAATTAGCTGGGCATGGCAGTGCATGCCCATGGTCCCTGTTACTTGGGAGGCTGAGGTGGGAGGATCACTTGAATGCAGAAGGTTGAGGCTGCAGTGAGCCCTGATCATGCCATTGCACTCCAGTCTGGGTGACAGAATGAGACATGATCTAAAACAACAACAACAACAAAAACATTGGCTGACACTTACTTGCCCATAGGGATGCTCTGATTGGTTACAGCTCCAGCTCCAGGTTATTCAGGTCTTAGGTGGGTAGGAGTCCCAGATTTATCAGTCACGCAGGGGGATTTAGTGACAAGGCCAGTTGTGGAACAGGGAGGTTAATGGCCATGGATTTGGTAGAGGAGGCTCTTGGATTTTGAGAGGCTTTAGGACCTACAGAAAAAAACCTCTTTCTGAATTTGGTACGAATTTATCTCAATGACGAATCAATGTCATTGCTTGGGTCTCCCTTTCACACTACATATGGTAGGCATGTGAGTGCTATTAATAAAATTTTGTCCAAGAGGCTAAGTAGCTTTGATAGGGGCTATTGGGTTCAATGGAGATTTGCTGAGTAAAAATTAACTTTGATGTGAACTGTGTCCTTTTATGGTATATTATTAGAGCAGATCCCCAGTGTGTGTGTTCACATGTCATTTTCAGAAAAATTGTTTGGTATTGCTTCTTCTTCCTCAAGTTTCTTTAAACAATAAGCTAAAAATGATACACAAACAAGATACCTTAGTTTTTAGCTCCTTCCAATGACCATTGGTGTGAAGACTCAGTCAGTATAGCGTGGGGACACCAGGACCACTTTACTTGATGCAATTGTAGCCTTTGGGGTGTGGTGATTGAACAGAAATAGTTGAGATGGACTTTGAACTGTTTGCTTTCAGGCAGCCTTTTGAGTGAATATTCCAGGGATATGTTGATGTCTCCCTTTATTGCAGGAAGGATAACTATGGCAGTGGCCTTCCTGAATGCTGGTTGAAAGGTGGCTTGATCTTAATGGACTTGCATGAGTCACAGGGATGAACAGGCAGAGCAGTGAAGCAGGACTCTCACTGTCATCTCTAACCTTGCAGTGACTGACCTGGACATCAAGTTTCAGTACCGTGGGAAGGAGTACGGGCAGACCATGACCGTGAGCAACCCTCAGGGCTGCCGACTCTTCTATGGGGACCTGGGTCCCATGCCTGACCAGGAGGAGCTCTTTGGTCCCGTCAGCCTGGAGCAGGTCAAATTCCCAGGTCCTGAGCATATTACCAATGAGAAGCAGAAGCTGTTCACTAGCAAGCTGCTGGACGTCATGGACAGAGGACTGATCCTGGAGGTCAGCGGTCATGCCATTTATGCCATCAGGCTGTGCCAGTGCAAGGTGTACTGGTCTGGGCCATGTGCCCCATCACTTGTTGCTCCCAACCTGATTGAGAGACAAAAGAAGGTCAAGCTATTTTGTCTGGAAACATTCCTTAGCGGTAAGTCATTTCTCAGAAAGTTGATCGTGGGAATCACTCTCTGGAAGTACATTCCTTCCACTATCCCTGTCTTTCACCTTCCTGCTTTCCTGGCATGGCAAAGATCTTAAAAAATTTAGTCTGGAGGAGGTCAAGGGAGAACAGAACTTTGGTTCTAAAAATTGGAGGTGACCTAGGCAACAAAGAAGGGAGTTTCACTCCAAAGCTATGTACTTGGAAGCTATTTTTAAGTTGGTTGTGGCTCCTTCAATGGCAGAAGAGGGAGACAGCCCTGTCATTACACCTCAAATGTTACCAGCGTGTCTTTAACTTTGGAAGGTAATCCTGTTTGTTATGTTCAGAATAGCACATATTCTTTTGGGAATTATCTGAGTGGTGAATTCAAGCAGGCAGTTTTAGGGAAAGCACCGTGATGTCAATTTTTTACAATGTGGTTTGAACTGCAAGTCATGATCAATGATGTCCAAGAGAACCCTCTGTAATTTGTACTGTTCAATATATTTGTGCTATTCAGTATGGTTGTCACAAGCCATATGTGGCTATTGAGCATGTAAATATGACTAATGTGACCCAGGAACTGTTTAATTAATTTAAAACTAGTGAGCACATGTGGCTAGTGGCTATTGTAATGGACAGCATAAAAGATGGTATTTGTTGAGTGGATGTGGAATGACCCAGTATACCAAACTTGCTCTTCCACTTTCTGCAGATCTCATTGCCCACCAGAAAGGACAGATAGAGAAGCAGCCACCGTTTGAGATCTACTTATGCTTTGGGGAAGAATGGCCAGATGGGAAACCATTGGAAAGGAAACTCATCTTGGTTCAGGTGAGAAGATAAGGCTGTGTCAACAACTCTTCATCTTTTTGCCAATGCTTAAGCCCCCAGGTCTGGGTTGAGCCCTCATCAAGCATCCATCAGCCCATGTAGGTTTCAGTCTCATCAGATGGGGTAACAGACTCAGGTTTGTGCAGTAGGACTCATGCTGGAAAAGGCAGGGTCCTTAAAATGGGTGATTGATTTAGTGGAGATCTTATCTTTCATTCTCTTACTAACCTTAGAGTCTTGCTGAAACCTCACAGGATATGACCCTTTCCAGGTTTTCTTCACACACAAATACACACACACACACACACACACACAATGTAAATTGCACTTTTTTTTTTTTTTGGAGACATGGTCTTGCTGTGTCGCCCAGGCTGCAGTGCAGTGGCACCATCTCAGCCCACTGTGGCCTCAACCTCCCAGGTTCAAGTGATCCTCCCACCTCAGCCTCCCAAGTAGCTGTGACAACAGGCACAGGCTACCATGCCTGGCCTAATTTTATTTTTAGCAGAGATGAGGTCTCACTATGTTGCTCATGCTGGTCTGGAACTCGTGGGCTTAAGTGATCCTCCTGTCTCAGCCTCCCAAAATGCTGGGATTATGGGTGTAAGCCACGATACCTGGCCCTTTCCAGCCTTTCTTAGAAAAACCTTTTGAGTTACTTTTAGGAATATAAATTTATTCTAGGAAGTGGCAGCAAGGCCACTTGGGCTTTGCCCCTGGAGTTGTGTAGCAAGGCAAGCAATAGATGATATTTTGTAAAAAGTCTTGCAAAGTAAGCAGTCATTTATTTAGGCCTGTGATGTAATGTTACATCTAGGTTCTTTACCTTCATTTGAACCAACTTCCACAGTGAGCCTTGGCAGAAGGATGGTCCAGAGAGATGAAGGCATATCCTATATTTAGACATCAGAATGGGGTCTTCCTCAGGGCCTCTTTGGTCTGTCCTTCAATCTTGGGTCCATTGTGCTATTTAAAAATACCTTTTCCTCAGAGGATACACCTGTGTTCTGTGTCCTGAACAGGTCATTCCAGTAGTGGCTCGGATGATCTACGAGATGTTTTCTGGTGATTTCACACGATCCTTTGATAGTGGCAGTGTCCGCCTGCAGATCTCAACCCCAGACATCAAGGATAACATCGTTGCTCAGCTGAAGCAGCTGTACCGCATCCTTCAAACCCAGGAGAGCTGGCAGCCCATGCAGCCCACCCCCAGCATGCAACTGCCCCCTGCCCTGCCTCCCCAGTAATTGTGAATGCCATCTTCTTCCTTCTCTTTTTTATAATATTGTACATATGGATTTTTTTATTGTTTAGATTTAACCAGCTTTTAAATCTCTCTTTTCTCTAACAGTGTTAGAAGTTTGTGATTCTCCAAATATGCCTAGATTTAAAGCTGATTTAATTTATGGAAAAATCACCCTTCAGACTTTGCTTTTCTTTTTCAAATCTCCTAATGGTAGTATGATATAGCATAGTAGAAGGAGATTTGGCCTGGGAGTTTGGACACCAAAGTTCTAGCTGCAGCTTTGCTTCCAATGTGACCTTGAACAAGTCCTTTAACCTCTGGGCTTCAGATTTATTGCTTATAAAGTGAAGAGATTGGAGTAGTGCCTGAAATTGCATCCAGCTTTAGAACGGACTCAATGACCTTCTTCTACTTGTACAAGGCTAAACTGCCTGGAACAGAATCCTTCTGCATTGTTCTTGTACCACATTTTTCCTTGGTTTTGTTAAAGTTTCCTCAAGCACTGATTTGTCCAGGATCGAGCTCTGTTTGACCTGTTCTGCTAGTATAGTAAGCTGGCTCCCTGATGGGGGAAGTGAGAGGGAGAGGAGCTGGCTGGCTGGTTGCTTAGAAACTATGCTTGATATCTAAATAGAAATGGGTGCCAAAGTCTGAAAGTCACCCAGCCTGTGGAGTGAAAGCTCACAAATTTGGCTTCTAAAGGGAAGCTGTTGACACAGAAAGCCTAGGGATTCTGTGGAAGAATAGGTTGTCAGGCATTTACCTTATTACCACTCAAATACCAGTGTGTGTGTGTTGGGGGGGCGGCAGGGAGAGGGGGTAGGTGACAGTATGTGACTCAGGTGTTAGCTTTAAGAGGAAAGAGCTCTATTTTTCTTGTTTTCTTCTCTGAGCTAGACTGAGCTGGGGATCTAAGATGTACTTCTCTGACTACAAAAGGGACAGTATCATTTAGATTTTTTGCAGTTGGAAGAAATGGGTTGTTGAGTGTGTTAAGGCTGGGATGAAGAAGGGCTGGGCAGTACTCTTCTGGAAAGGCTCACCTAGCACGAACCTGCTTGTCTCCCTTACTAGTGGAGGTATCTGAGTGTGAACAGTGAAGGTAAAGAGTGGTATAGAACAATGCAGCTGTATCTGTCACAAACTGGTCTTATCTAGAAACATCTGCTGAGTCTCTAACCCTTTCAGCTTTCTCTTCTTTTTTGAGACAGAGTCTTGCTTTGTTGCCCAGGCTGGAGTGCAGTGGCAAGTCACCACTTACTGCAGCTTTAAGCTCCTGGGCTCAAGCAATCGTCCTGCCCCAGCCTCCTGAGTAGTTGGGACAACAGTCGTGCACTATGATGCTTGGCTAATTTTTTTTTTATTTTTGTAGAGATGAGGTCTTGCTATGTTGCCCAGGCTGGTCTTGAACTCCTGGGCTCAAGCAATCTGGGACCTAAATGGCAAATAAGATGCTAATCTGTGGTTGCAAGCCCCAGTCCTCTTGAATAGTGATGCCTATCTGTCTGTGTCGGGACATAGTAAGGAAGCCCATGTCTAGTCTGGTACCTTTAAACCAGGCCATCTCCAACTTTTCAAAATGACTCAAAAGTTGAGCTAGCCTTATTTTAAAAACTAAAAGTTCAAAATCAGTGGTGACATGAGGACTTATTTATTTAAAGTGCTTAAGCCTTGGTTTTAGAGTTTCTAAGAGACCTAGTGGAATTTGCTATTATGAAAAGCATGAAAAGATTAAGAAACCTGGCTAAAGGTCAGGTGCCCAGCTTCGAGGAAAAGTTGGGCTTTTAGGGACCGGGAAGCATTAAAGGCACAGAAACTTTACATTTTGGGGGTCATTTTGTTGAGTAGGTGAAGTGAGGGATTTGGGCTTGATATTTGGCTGCCCCATCTCTACGTGGGAACTCAAAGTTAAAAACCCACTGTAGGTAAATTAGAAGGGCAGCTCTTGAATCTGGGCCAGTCTATATCCCTTCTGTGAAGTGCTAACAGCCAGGCTATCTGTAGCCTGGGTGGGAGCCCAGATAATGTGAGCTGGTAAAGGGTATTGGAAAAGTGCCAAGAAATGCCAAGCTTTTGGTTCGTAACCACTATAAAAAGTTTATGAACATGTCAGAGGAATGGATGAGTGATTTGTGAGGTCTTAACTAGATACCCCGGTTTCTTCCTTGTTTTGGCTTCTTTTCAGAATGCCGGGAGAGTACATGCAGGGATTCCATCTAATCACCCTCAGCACTCTTTCTCTGGTCCTGCTGGATAGATTTAGATTTCCTTTCTTTTTTTAGGGCCTCAGTCTGCTATCTCCTTTGGTGGCTACCACCACTCACTCCCTTGATATCTTCTACTCCCTTGCCTTCACCTTGCTTAAGACTGAGAAGGGAGTTAGATTTTGTCACTAGCTCTTCTTTTTCCTCACTGTGTACCCCACCAAACAAGATTAGTTCAAGTTAAAAAGAACCTACTGGAGGTAAACTGGGAGAGCAAGTGTTGGATCTGGGCTGGTCCCTTTCCCATAAAATTAGGTCCCTGGTTGTATGTTCCCATAGCACCCCATACTTCCTCTCTCAGAATAATCATTTCCCTTGTAATGCTCAGCATCCGCATCCTGCTTGACTGCAAACTTGCTGAAGGTAGGGACTGTTTGTCTTGGACTTCGCTGCCAGTCCTTAGAACAGTGTCTGGGACACAGTGTGTTCTCAAATATTTGTTGCTGGAATAAATGAATGAACTAAATCAGTCTTTTAGGGATTTACTGTTAACCACCATGGGAAAATTAAATAAATGCGGGGAAGGAAAACGTTCTAAAATTAGAAGACTACTTTCTACTCTCAGCTTCTGATTCCCTCTGAGCTAAGAACCAGACAGCCTTAGGCTGGTAACTCCTATAAGCTGGTCCTCCTCCCATGCTGACCCCATCTTTACTGTACAATTCACTTTTCATGGACTGAAGGCACCACCAAGATAGATCCAGGAGTGACAACTCCAGTGTAGGTGTCCACTGTTCCCTTAATCTCTGTCCTGCTCCAAGTATAAATAAATTGGGGCCATTTCCTTAGATATTGGGGTTTTCTCAAGAAATCCTTTCCCTTCGTGGCATGGGTCAAATCGCTGGTAGTTAAAAAGGTGTTAACTCTTACGTGAAATAACACTTTTTCTTTGTAATGACCTGACTGGAAAGCCTCTGTGTCATCACTTCTCATTTCTTATTTGAAATCAGCAAACTGGATTCAGTAGACATGAACTTAAGCCCCATGAAAGTGGGGGTTTTGTCTGTTTTGCTCACTGCAGTACCTCCAGGGCCTAGCAGCATGACTGGCACATATTTGTTCAAAGTGAATACTCACACCTTCACACCCTCCCTAGAGAGCTGTTGTAGGCCTCTCAAATGTAGGATTTAGGGAAGTCAAGTTAAAAAAAATTAAAACGTTTCAGCACCACCCACAGGTGAGGCTATTCTGCAAAATATGTTGTCTTGAGGTATGTTTCGTCTGGACAAAACGTATTTCCACAGACACAAATCAAAGGTGTTTATTAACTGCTGTGTGCCCTGTTTCTGGATTCCCAGTCAAGTGGGACACCAGACGTCATAACACAGGGAGGACGTTCGGCGAAGCAAAATGAGGGCAGCAGCGGGAAACCAGTTTCACCAGGTTCCGCCTTTTCTCGTTTACTTCCGCCCTTCCCAGTTCCTAAGCCGACAGATGGGGCCGCGTTCAGTCTGGCCGGAAAGGGCGGGCCGCACGGTGGCCCAAACTTCCGGCGCGCAGTAAGGCTGCCTAGCTAGTGATTCTAACGCGAGGCGCGCGAGCGGCTGGATGACGTCACGGAATGGGGGGAAAGAGGGCGGCACTCGAGTGGGTGCGCATGCGCAAGAAGGTGCCTGCGGGACTGGAGCAGAGCGGGCTGCGAGGGTCTTCCCAGCGCAGGCGGGTTTTCCAGTGTTACTTGCGGCTGGGCGTGGGGGACTAGCTGCCTTTCTGGCAGCAGGCAGGAAGCCGCAAAAAGTTTCTGAGCCCCCGAACCTGTAGCGGACGTGGAAAAAGAACGTATGTGAGACAGACTTATGCCTCATTTAGCAAATCACTATAACATGCTCTGGTGTGGGGTGTGTGGATCGGAGAAATCTCATCTTCCGAGGGTCCTTGATGTCGGACAGAAAGGGAAGGCGGGGCCAGCAGAAGTTAAAATACTACCCTTCTGCAGTTCTAGTGGATTTCATTCATTCATTTTTATGTGTCAGGGTGAGATGGTTGTTAGTCCACATTCTGGTGTATATTAATCAAATTACTATTCTTATAACTATTCTCTGGCGGGAAGAGTAGGGGAGTTGTCAGTGGAAAGGATACATTTGGAACTTGGAGCTCTGTCCCAGAAGGGCTTTTGGGCGAAATGCTGTGAATTTTGCCAAACACTGCCCCGCCTCCGCCTCTGCCCCAAATTCCCTACGGTTTGAACCAGAGAACGTAATTTGCAACAGGTGAAATTTAGAATAAAAGCCAGAGGGAATATAAATCTAGCTATAAGGCTAGAAAAACACACGAATTTATGATTGAGGGAGACCAAGTCAACCAGAAAAATCAAGCAGCATCGGTGAAACTATCTTGTCTGGGCTGGGTCGCCATTTCAAAGCAGGGAGGGACAGAATAACCTTTGGAAGATACCGCGATTTAACAGGAAGGCTGTTAATAATTCCCTGCTCCTGCTTTGTTTCTAGGCCCCTCCTCAAGTGTCTGGCTGAAAGATGCCACCCAGGGAAGGGAACTCGGGCTAGCTAAGGAGGCCATTCTTGATGTTGCTTCTAGATCTCATGTCATCACCGAGCCCTCAGCTGCTGGTGGCAGCTGCTCAGCAGACCCTTGGCATGGGAAAGAGACGGAGTCCACCCCAAGCCATCTGCCTTCACTTAGCTGGAGAGGTGCTGGCTGTGGCCCGGGGACTGAAGCCAGCTGTGCTCTATGATTGCAACTGTGCAGGGGCATCAGAGCTCCAGAGCTATCTGGAGGAGCTGAAGGGGCTTGGCTTCCTGACTTTTGGACTTCACATCCTTGAGATTGGAGAAAACAGCCTGATTGTCAGTCCTGAGCATGTATGTCAGCACTTGGAGCAGGTGCTGCTTGGTACCATAGCCTTTGTGGATGTTTCCAGCTGCCAGCGTCACCCTTCTGTCTGCTCCCTGGACCAGCTTCAGGACTTGAAGGCCCTCGTGGCTGAGATCATCACACATTTGCAGGGGCTGCAGAGGGACTTATCTCTAGCAGTCTCCTACAGCAGGCTCCATTCCTCAGACTGGAATCTGTGTACTGTATTTGGGATCCTCCTGGGCTATCCTGTTCCCTATACCTTTCACCTGAACCAGGGAGATGACAACTGCTTAGCTCTGACTCCACTACGAGTATTCACTGCCCGGATCTCATGGTTGCTAGGTCAACCCCCAATCCTGCTCTATTCTTTTAGTGTCCCAGAGAGTTTGTTCCCAGGCCTGAGGGACATTCTAAACACCTGGGAGAAGGACCTCAGAACCCGATTTAGGACTCAGAATGACTTTGCTGATCTCAGCATCTCCTCTGAGATAGTCACACTGCCGGCTGTGGCCCTCTGACTTTAACTCTCCTCCCATATAGAAGGTACTCAGTAAATGATCATCTCTAGGTTGGGGATGGCAAATAATCATCTCAACTGCCAATTCCAAGTGTCTTGAATACACTAAGGCACAATGCTGTAGATCAGTTGGCCACAAATGCAAAGGGCATGTAAATAGGTAATGGTGGTGCTAGTAGCAAATTGGTAGATAGTACATACTTGCCATTTCTATACTAGGAAGTCCTCTTAGTGGAGATGTTTTCATTTTCACTGGATAAAAGATAGAAGGAAGGAGATGATAGAGGAAAAGCAGGGTGATGGAAGACAAGCCAAACACTCTTGCATGGTAACCTTGTAAATATACCTGCTCTATGTGGGTGCTGCATGCTAGGAAAGTAGGGCTGGGGGCTTTTCTGCATGTTTATATGCCTCCAACTGAATTTGAGGAGAGTAGACCACCAGTATGCTTAAATATGTGATACTTGTTAATGTAATACACCATTCAGGAATAAACTGAGAGTTCTGAGGAACAATCTGGTCAGGTGAAGTTTATTTACAGTAGGTTAAGAAATTAATAAAAAGTCAGAAATCCTAAGTCAGTTGGAAAACCCAAGCTGTAATGTACCCAAACCTTCTGAGTTTTTCGCTGAGTTGCTTGCTTCTGATTTTCACCCAAGGCAGTTGTCACAAATTATTCAGATCATCAGGTTGTCTTTATTGGCCAGGAACACTGCCAGTGCTGCAGCAATCACCACCATCAGCACTGGGAGCCATCGCCCACATTGCCTCTGTAGGGGGACAGGGAGACAGAAGAAAGTGGCCATGAGTGGATTGGAAAAGATATAGGCAAAAATCTTTCTTCTTCCTACTCTAGCCCAGTGGAAAACGCTGGGTTGGTGGTGGAGAAAAAGCTTTTTACTCTGTCTCCCATTTTGTCACCTGTCTTGGGATAAAACCACTTAACCAATGTTCTCTGGCCCAGGGAGCCGTATCCATCAGGGACCAGATATATAAATACTGATATGAATAATGAAGGGTGGAAAATAACCCAGCAAAATTATATTCTTTCTTTGTATTCCCCAGTACTTTTGTGTCCTTCTGTTCTTGCCACCATGCTTATCATCGGCTAAAAGAACACCCTTTCATACTTTAGCTAAGAGTAAGTCTTTCCTTCTGGCATTGAGAGTTCTGTGAAAGTTGGGCTTTGATGGACGAGCCAGTGTTTTTTTCAATGGTTGCCATAATGTCAGTATAGTATAAACCAAGCACAGTGGGACAGGATGGCCAGTTGTTGGCGTGGGCTGATATATTTTATGTGCAAAACTTGGTTAAAGAAGGAATCGTCCCATCATCCAGGGCTTTATGGGAAGGAGAGACCCTCTTACTCTGGGAGGCAGCTGCTGGCTCTGGTTCAGCTCTTCTCGACAGTGCTGCAGCTTACGCAGGCAGGAGAGATACTCGTCACTGAGGTTGTCTAATTCTGAATGCAGTTCTCTGCACTGGGGAGAACATCACCAAAGTCATCACTGTCACTTCTGTCTAGGACAGAGCCCAGGCAGGGGAGACTGCCCTTTGTAAGTTTCACTCATTTGGAATTTTTACCACCATCTTCCCTTCCCAGCCATTCTCAGGGATTTGAGTTTGTCTTTTGACTGTCTTACATTGTCTGGAATGTGTTCATTTAAATGATTGACAGTAATGCATATTATAGTATTACATTTTATACATTTAAGTTCTTTTATATGACTTTACGTGCAAGTGCTTTGCAAATGAGAGACACCGAAAAATGAAGTTCTTATAGAACAAACGACCTAGAAGTGACCTTAGTACAAGTTTCTTTCCCAGGAGCTAGTTGCATATCAATACTTCTGGGGATGTGTATGTTTGTGAGTATGTACAAAGGAAGAGTTTTACTCTTTAAGAGACATATAAAGACTTAAGATACTCAATGTGGGACGACATATTGAGAAGTTAATATTTTTATTAAATGTGTTTGAGTTTTGGTCGACTTTCTAAAAGGTAATCATTTAATAAAACCTTGAATAGGAGTTGGTATAAATAAGGAAGGGAAAAGATTGACAAGTCAGCCCAAAAGCACAGACACTTTATGTAGGCAAATGAATGTCTGTGGTTATCCACTCACAACTTAAACTTTGAAATCCCTGCTTTTTGACTGCCTCCCAGGTTTCTCTGCTATTTCGCAAATGAGCCCTCACTATCTCAGGTCACCCTCTCACCTCCTTTTCCTTGGCCTGGAGCTGCAAAGTCTTCTTTTGCAGCTGGTCTCTGAGATCCCAGTCTTTCTCCTTCCCTGTACCCTCAGGCTCCACTTCGTTAGGGAAGGACTTTGGACTCCACACGGGCAAAGCCTGATCTAAAAAAGCAGCCAGATTCTTGGTGACAGTGAGGCCCACACCTCTGAGGAAGGGCCCTGAGGGTGAAACCACTAGGAGTGGGGAGAGGGGAGGGAACTTGGGAGGGCGTGCTCTTGGCTAGACTGATGGCATTCTCTGACATAAAGGTTAACTTCCAGTAGGCCCCTGCTAAGCTTGGACAGACAGCTGGAATCTGAGCTCCTTGAGGGCAAGATTGGGATCTTTTCTTTGTATCCCCAGTCTTATCTAGTGCTAGATAGTTTTAGTGAATACTTCTTAATTGAATTTCATTGGTTGTATGTCACATTCTTCCTAGTTTGTCAAATAAGTTTGGTAAATGCTTTAATACAATCCCTTTTCCCTGATGTCCTCATTTGAAAGTTGTGAAGATGGCAGTCATATCCTAAAATTTATCTTCATATGGTTAAAGATGGTTTTTTAGCCACCCTGCAGTCTTAGTCTTGGTGAAAAGAGCATGGACTAGGAGTCAGAAGTTTTGGATTGTTGTTATAGCTGTGTTGTTAGTTTGTGTCACCATAGACTTTCATGTTCTTATCCATACTCTGTGAGCATAAAAATTTCTGCCTTATCTATTATATTATGCCCAATGATTGTGAAGAGAAAACAAAAGGTCGTGTGTAGTGGACAGGTGAGGAGCTATTGCCCCTCTGTATACACAGTGAATTCTCAGGAAACATGGACAGTAGACTCTCTAGGGCTAACAGTGAGTTGACTCTGGACTGCTATGTGGTTTGGGGCTGGGGAGTTGGATGTGATTTGGAAAATCAAGTGTGTAAAAATTGACATGAAATCCTGAGTTCAAAATAAATTTATTGAAATGTTCAACACAGACATGTGCTTTCAGAGAGAATAGAAACCCTTTTTCACAGTTTATATACCTCAAGATAGAAGGCTAACTAGTTGAAGTGTCCTCAGAGCCAATGATCAGTCCTTAAAAAGCTCCCACACATCCCGGACTTAACAGACTCCCAGAACTGGCTGGGACTCCAGGAGGTCATGTAGTCCATCCCGCTGCCTCTAGGCAGGTAAGAGAAGAGCAATATCTTAGAATTTGTGGTAATAAATTTGCTGACCTTTCTTTGTTAAGAGTTTCTCCTGTTCTTGAAGCTGTAAGGATTGATTTTGAAGCAAACCTGTTGGAAAACACAAGGAACTTGTCTATGCTAGCATATTTACTACAAAAAGTTTTCTTTTCAGAACTTTGCTTAGAACCTTGGTTATTAAATATGTTCCCATCTGCTGTGTGTTGAATTTTGTCCCCCAGAATATATATGTTGAAGTCCTAACCCTCAGTACCTTAAATAATGACCTTATTTGGAGATAGATTCTTTAAAAGATAATCAAGTTAAAATGGGGTCATTCAGGTGGGCCCCAATCTAATATCACTGGTGTCCTTATAAGAAGGGGAAATATGGACACAGATATGTTCATGGGAAAGACAATGTGAAGAGACACAGAGAGAAGACGGCCATCTACAAAGCCAAGGAAAGAGCCCTGGGATAGATCTTTCCCTAAACGCCCTCAGAAGGAAACAACCCTGCTGACATCTTGGATTTCTAGTCTCCAGAACTGTGAGACAATACATTTCTGTTCTTCAAGGCACCCAGTCTGTGGTACTTTGCTATGAATATAGCATCCTTATATCTCCCCCTACCATGTCTCTATCTTCAAGTCTTTGCTTGAAGATTTTCCCTTTTCCCTGTGGTTGCTTTGCTCTCTTAATAATCATTGCTGCTTTCATGAAGCTTCTCTATCAGGTGTCAGAGGTTAAAGTGGTGGGCAACCAGCAGCTGTATTAATTGAGTCAGGTTCTCCAGCTTTTCAGAAACTGCTTTTCTTCTGAGAAGTCCCTTTTCCTCTTTGGGCCCAATATGTAGTTTTGAAGTGGATTGAGGCACGTATAGTGTAAGCTTATTTTCTAAACCATCTCTAATGACAGGTCTATGTGACACATTCATGTACATAAATTAGAATATATAAAATAAGAACTGCTTTAGGAAACCCAGTATTTAAAAAAAATCTGCAGTTCTAGGGGAAATGTAAGTGGTGTCATTGGCATGGAAGGAGAACAGTAGAAAAAAAAGAACAGAGGCTAACACATAATTTATGGAGAGCTATGTAAATGACCTCACTTTACAAGAAGAGGGTCTGAAAGTGCACAGAGTTAGAGCATATGCCAAAGACTGGGCCCTTAGTCCCTACTCTGGGTGCCTTTTGTGGGCCAGGACCCCAGGAAAACCCTGTGGACTTTCAGAATCTGGAAAGCGAACTTACCCTGCAACTGCTGTACTCTGGTCACCAGGGTGAGTTTCTCTGCCTCTGACCTTTTTAGTTGATCTGAAAATGCAATAATGCAAGCCAAAATAAAGGAACCCAAGACTTAATGAACTCAGTACTTAGGATGGAAATTAGTAATAGATGCTGTCTTGTCATGGTCTTTAACGTGTGTCTATTGGAAGTTGCTCTATCTTCGTGTCCCAGTTCTGAAGAGGTAAACCAGAAGCCAAGTACCTCAGGTTTTTGTGCATCAACAATGTTGGGTTGCATTGAGGCTTGTGTTTACACACTATCTAGTCCTCTCTATCAGCGGACACAGAGGATGTGACTGAGAGACTTTCTCTATGCCTTGTGTTTCAACTGACCTTTCCCTTTCAAATTAGGACTGTGGCCTTGACATATGTGACTGATGTGGGAGCAGCTGTGATCTGGCCCAGAGGGATGGGCTAAAAAAGAGAGCTCAGACAACAAGATACTCTATCTACTACAGTGAAATTAATTTTCAATTTTGGATGATTAAAACAGTCCTGCCTCTCCCTCAAGGTAAAATGAGATTATAAAGCCAATCAACCAATCAAGCAAACAAATAAAAGGCTGAAGCCTTTCTCTTAATTCAGTTTCTTTTTTCTTAGCTCACTTGGCCATGGCTGCCATGCACTCAAGGCCTCCAAGGAGAAGAGTACCTTGTAGGTCCTGGGTATCCAAGCTGCACAGGTCTCTGTCCCCTTGCAGGCATTCAATCTTGGCCTGCAGTTGCTGGTGCTCATTTTCCAAAAATCGCAGGGCCTGGTTCATCTGTAAGTCCCTGCTATCTGCTCCCTGTAAGGAGGAGGAAGGGCCAATATAGAAGGAGGTCAGTGTTGGGGTGGAGGTTGGGGGGCGGGTACCATGGAAGAGGAAAATGTAGAAAAGTCTGGAATTTTAGAGATAGAAGGAATGTTAGGGAGATGAGAAAATAGAGAAGTCTTTCTTTTTTCCTATTTCTTCCCTTTGCTTTGTTCCTCATATTTATAACAGCAGATTAGACTTTTGATATTCACAAGGAACTCGCGTCTTTTATTTATTTATTTTTATTTTTAGAGATGGGGTCTCACTTTGTCACCCAGACTGGAGTGCAGTGGTGCCATCATAGCACATTGCAGCCTCGACCTCTTGGGCTCAAGCAATCCTCCCATCTTAGCCTTCTGAGTAGCTGGGACTACAGGCATTTGCCAGTAGTTTTGAAGTGGACTGAGGCATGTGCAGTGTAAGTTTATTTTCTAAACCATCCCTAGTGACAGGTCTAAGTGACACATTCATGTACATAAATTAGAATATATAAAATAAGAATTGCTTTAGGAAACCCAGTACGTTAAAAAATCTGCCATTCTAGGGGAAATGTAAGTGGTTGTCATTGGTGTGGGAGTCATGTCTTGACACTTTGGTAAATCACCAAATTAAGGAATACAAAGTCATTAGTTTTCTGGATGTTTTCATTTTCTCTTTTTTCTACTTCTGGCAGTATCAGTTTTTTTTTTGGTTAGGGTCTTTTTTTTTCCACAAAGATTTAAAGTTAAAAAACCCCTCACAAAAATCTTCATAGGAGTTGCCTTATAGGTGATGGGAAGAAGAAAACAACAAAGGTTGAGCTGTGGATACCACGCAGAGTGACCAGCTGGGTTCACTCCTTTGATAAGACTCACATACTCTGTCTCTTATCAAGTGGGCTGTTCTGAGCCCTGCTTCAGGAAAATTACAAAGATCAGCTTTTGAGGTGGATCCTCAAAATTCCAAACCAGGTAAATAAATCTATGCAAAATAATAGCTAATATTTACTGAGTGTTTTTGTGTGCCAGGCATTGTGCTAAGTGCTTTACATGGATCATCTTACTTAATACTCAGAACCACCTTATGATGTAGGTACTATTATCCTCATTTTAGAGATGGGGAAACTGAGGCTTAGGACAGATTGAAGATGATGGAACCCTTGAGGATGCCAAGAATCTAATTGTAATTGCTAAATGTAATTGCTTAAAATACACATTGGCAGAAAGTGTTAATACTCACCTGTAAATAAATTAGTGACATTCTTTCTTTGCCAACAGTGGGCAATTCTGAACTGGATGCTTTTTTGGGATGGAGTTTGGAGAGTGGGTTGGGAGATGACATTAGTAGGCTGATGAATATTCCAGCCAGTTCTTTTCATTTGGGTGGTGATGGTGTCATTCCAATGAACGCTTAGTTCATTTGCATGAGCAATGCAGACATCCTTGCTAAACTCAAAATTAGATTTCAGAGCCAAAACAGTGAATTTGGTACAAAGTAGTGGTGACTGAGGAACTGAAAGCCAGATGCTGTCAGCTGCCTTTGGAGTCCCTAATCCAGAACAGCTTCTTTCATCACCATCCCTCCTCCCCATACCCTGTCTTCCCTCCCCACCCCCAGTGCCTGGTACCTGCAGTTTGGACTGAAGCACGTGGAGTTGGCTCTCCAGCTCCCTGTGCTGGGTCCCAAGGGTCCTCCAGTCCTCCTTCAGAGCCTCATACTGGCTCCTCCACTCTTCACACTTCTGCTCTGCCAGGGCCAGGGATCGCTGAGGGAGATCAGAGAGGAGAGGGCTCCAGGGAGTTGTGCAGCTGGCTCCCCTTGTTCCCCAAGCTGCCTGGAGTCCCCAGCCCCATGTCTATGTGGCATCCCCATACCTGTGTGCTCTGTAGTTGCTGCTCTGCATTCATTTTCTCCTCCAGCACTTTCTGCAGTGACTCCTTGGCCTTCTGCTCATAGCTGTTTTTCTGGTCTTCCATCTCCAGTAGTACTTTTTTCATTCCCCAAGGGGAGTATTTCTGTAAATTTGATGCAATTCAACAAATACACATTGAGCTTCTGTGTGCCAAATCCTGAGCTGGGATACAGAAATGAAAAGAAGTTGGTTCTTCCCCCAGGCAGAGATACCAGTAATCTAGTGAGCCATTTCTTTTAGGGTAGAGCTAGCAAGAAGAGTCCCTCAGGCAATGAGAGATGAGTGGAGGGCATAATAAACAGTGCCCTAGGCTTCCTGGGCATTATATCTGAGGCCTTCTGCAAGCTCTTGGAATCCAAGATGTCTAAACAGGACTCATCTTTCTAAACATGTTCTTTTTTCTTGGGGTTCCTATCTCAGTGACCAGAATCATCATCCATCCAGGCTTTTCCAAACCCTAAACCAGGGAGTCAATCTTCATTTTCTCTCTCACTTCCTCCCCCTCTAATCAGTTGGTCATTGAGCCTTGACAATTTCCTTAACAGCTCATATCTGTCTCCTCTCTATCCCTACTGCTGCTTCCTTAGTTCAGGCTCTAGTAGTAGTGTTATGTGGATTAATGCAACAGCCTCCCTTTCTTCAAATCTTGCCTCCCTTCAGTCCCTTTTCAGTTCTGCATTTAGAGGGTTCTTTCTAAAATGCAAATCTGATCTTGCCACTTCCTGTATAAATCTCTCCATGGATTCTCAGCATACTAAGAATCACATCCAAACTCCTTGTCATGGCTCCTCTTACACGCCTAGACTTTCATCCCATGCTACTTCCACCTAAGCTGAGATGTTTGCAGATCCCCCAGCACTCTGTTTTTTGGGGCTCTGCCTTTACCCATGTAGCTTCTTCTGCCTACAGCCAGTTAACTTCTACTAATACTCAAGATTCAGTCCAGTATCATCAGTTCTGATAAATTGACCAACTACCCCCATCCCACAATGTCTTATGGATTAGGTAGCTTTTCTTAGGGTTCATGGTGTTCACATAGTATCCCCTGCATGCCTCTATTATTCTACTCTATTGACTCATCTGTCTTTCATACTGGATTGTAAACTCCTTCAGGGAGGGAGCATACTGCTGCTGCTTTAAAAAAAAATCATTGTAGCTTCTTTACAATGCCTAATGAACTTCATGTTTTAAAATTAATACATTTGCATTATAAAATTCCTCCTGGCTGCAGGATTAAGGAGACACAAGCGCAGCTTTGCAAATTCACTGGGGGTCTTGCCTTCTCCCTTTCTTTCATCTTTATGCCCTGTGATTTCGGAGAAGGCAGGCAGATTTTATTGTCAATTCTGGATTACCTACTGTGTAAGCAGTAGACCAGATGACAACAATTTAGGGATCAATATGAAATCATTTCCATTTAGCTTTGGAATTGTCTGAAATTTTGGATTTAAATTTGAGTGGGTCTTATAGTTTTGGAACTTTCATTAAAAACCAGATCCAGGAATTAACCTGGTTGAGGTCATATGTAGGGGATGTCCCAGTTATTGGACATCCAATGACCATCCATGCTGGGCACTGGTTATGTGTTATTCCCTATTGAAAATGAATAGACTGGCATTCTGGATTATATATTAGTCTCCTGTGAACTTGGTTGGCATTATTTAGTCCTGACAAAGCAAGTTATACTGAAAAAATGAAAGTTGTGGACCAAGAAACTTATAGACTCCATAAACTCTCTTCCCCTGTAAGACGCCATCAATGTGGCCAGGACTGTCTTCTCTCTCTAACTCCAGATGGGAGAATTCTGCCTGTTTCACCCCATTCTCTGATTTGATATCTTCCCACCTGTCAGGTATCCATCACTTCTCAAATGTGAAAGCTGATTTCTTTCTATCTCTTATAAACCAAGATTAGGCCAATCAAGAGATTACTAATGCTGGAAAATGGTGTTACAGAAGAGCCAAGTAAAAGAGCTTTTACATTCTTCCAGGGGTTGCTAGAAAAAACAGAAAAAAGTTACCCATGGAATGAAAATAATTTTGTAAGACTTCATTATAACATCTAACTCATCTGTTCAAAGATTAGGATGCGTAAAGGGCTGTCTGGGTGATGTGAGTCTTTACCAAGGGCCTTCCCCTACAGTGTCAGGTATTCTCAAGGTTCCCCTGGAGCTGACAAACTGGTTAGTGCTGGGATTCCTCCAGGGTGCAAAGAGAAGGATACTGGGAGAAAGGGAGAGGAAGAAGGATGGAGACAGTGATCTAGTGAATTAGAGACTAAAGTGTAAATGGCCAAGCCAGAAATGGGTAAGTAGGAATGGGTGTGTTATTCTCTATCTGGTGGTGTTTCTCGAAAGTAAGATTGAGGTTCAAAAACATTCTTCTCATTTAATTCTAGATTCCTGAGATGGAAGTATCCTTCAGAATGCTTACCTGGGTACAGGTGTATAGCTGGTTTTCTAAGGATCTCAGTTTCCCCTTCAGTTTGTCTTCATTAAGCTGTCCCTGGAGCAAATGGGATGAGTTAATGAGCTTGGGGCAAAATCTAGTCTGCAAAGAGTTTGACTCTATATTCCTATTCTACTGCCCAGCACATGGTTGGTGCTCAAACAGTGAACTCTTTCAGGAGGCAGGCAGGAGCAAAGATGACAAAGGATGCTGGATAGAAGAGGATCTTCTCCTGTTTCTCTGGACTAGGACAAGAAAGAATAAGACTGGCCTCAAGTCCTCTTTTTACCTCGATTTTTATCAAATGGCTCAGGGTAGCATAGCAGGGGGGCCCCGGAAGGAAAGCTTCTAAGCTACCCTTTCGCTCACTATCTCCCTCCCCTGTCTAGGCACTTCTGCACTCCTCACCTCTTCTCAGTCTTGTACGTGGACTTTTCCCTGTAAAATGTAGGCCAGTGAGGCTAACGCAGTCTCCCCTCCCGGGAGAATGTTTATTCCCTCCCTTGCCCTCGGTTATGAGCTCATTTATATCTCCTCAACATTTCTATGTTGAAGTCCTAAGCCCCGAGTGCCCCAGAATGTGACCATATTTGGAGAAAGGGTCTTTAAAGATGTAGTTAAGTTAAAATGAGGCCATTAAGCTGGCCCTAATCCAATATGATGGATGTCCTTATTAAAAGAGGAGATCAGGGCACTGCAGGAAGGCCATGTGGAGACACAGAGAGAGATGGCAATCTGTAAGCCAGGAAGAGAGACCGCAGGAGAAACGAACTCTGCTGACACCTCGATCTCAGACTTTTAGCCTCCAGAACTATGAGAAAATAAGTTTGTTTTTGAAGTTCCCCTGACTGTGGTACTTTGTCATAGCAGCCCTAGGAGATTAATACACTCCCCTCCCTGCCACACACACCTCCACATGCACACACACACCTCCATATACACACACCTTCACATGTGCACACACACCTCCACATGCACACGTACACTTCCACCTGCACACATACACTTCCACCTGCACACACGTACCTCCACCTGCACACACACACCTTCACATGCACACGCACACCTGCATATGCACACGCACACCTCCATATACACACACACCTTCACATGCGCGCACACACCTCCACATGCACACGTACACTTCCACCTGCACACACGTACCTCCACCTGCACACACACACCTTCACATGCACACGCACACCTGCATATGCACACGCACACCTCCATATACACACACACCTTCACATGCGCGCACACACCTCCACATGCACACGTACACTTCCACCTGCACACATACACCTCCACCTGCACACACGTACCTCCACCTGAACACACACCTTCACATGCACACCTTCACATGCACACGCACACCTCCATATGCACACGCACACCACATGCGCACACACACCTCCACATGCACACGTACACTTCCACTGCACACATACACCTCCACCTGCATACACGTACCTCCACCTGCACACACACACCTTCACACACACCTTCACATGCACACGCACACCTCCATATGCACACGCACACCTTCACATGCACACACACCTCCACATGCACACACCTCCACCTGCACATGCATACCTTCACATGCACATGCACACTTCCACCTGCACACACACCTCCAGCTGCACACGCACACCTCCACATGCACAGATACACCTCCACATGCACACACACACCTTCACATGCACACGCACACCTTCACATGCAGATGCACACCTCCGTAGGGACACACACCTCCACCTGCACACACATACCTTCACATGCACACACACACCTTCACATGAACACGCACACCTCCACATGCGCACGCACACCTCCACATGCACACAACCTTCACATGCACACACATCCATATGCACACGCACACTTCCACATGCATGCACACTTCCACCTGCACACACACACCTCCACCTGCACACACACCTCCACATGCACACGCACACTTCCACCTGAGCACACACACACATCCACATGCACACGCACACCTCCACCTGCACACACACACCTCCACATGCACACGCACCCCTCCACATGCACACGCACACCTCCACCTGCACACGCACACCTTCACCTGCACACGCACACCTTCACCTGCACACGCACACCTCCACATGGCACACACACACTTTCACATGCACACACACACTTCTATATAGACACACACCTCCACCTGCACACACACACCTCCATATGCACACACACACACCTCCATAGGCACACGCACACCTCCACCTGCACACGCACACCTCCACCTGCACACGCACACCTCCACCTGCACACACACACCTCCACATGCACACACACACCTCCATATGCACACACACACCTTCACATGCACATGTGCACCTCCACCTGCACACAACTTCCAGCTGCACACACACCTCCACATGCACAGATACACCTCCACATGCACACACATTCTACCTGGACACACACACCTCCACCTGCACACGCACACTTCCACCTGCACACACATACTTTCACATGCACACGCACACTTCCACATGCACACACACACCTCCACATGCACACACATACCTCCACCTGCACACACACACCTCCACATGCACACACACACCTCCACCTGCACACACACACCTCCACATGCACACGCACAATTCCATCTGGACATACACACTTCCATCTCCACACACACACCTCCACCTGCATACATACATTTCCACATGCACACGTACATACTAGACTCAAGATGAGAACTTCTTTAAGAAAGCAAGAAACGGAGAGATATTAAAGCAGAGTGAGGGCGGCAGGGGGTGTAAGGGAGCTTCCCAGAAAGTCACATTCTATTTATTCATAAGCTGGGGCTGTCTAATGGTATTTTCGACATTCCAAGAAAGATGCTAATCTCAAGGGCGAGAGGGGAGCAAGGCCGGCATGAAGAGCCAATCTGTTTCTCGGTTTTTCAGTATTTCAGCTTAGTAGCTACAGCTTCCCTGCCACTTTTTTGTCCCCTCCCTTTGTAGACTTGCCCCTTTTGCCCAGGTAGGGGTTTTGTTCTTCCAGCCTGGAGTTTTGTGTAGGGTGTATCTGTGTAGGGGAGGGGGCGGAGGAGCCATCAATGAGAGCAAGTTTTCCAGAGAAAGGGCAGTGACCGGTTTTCCTATCTTTTCTCTGGCTTTTTCCAACCAGGCCAAGTGGGACGCTTGTGAGGTCTTGAAATTCCACCTCTCTTTAGGCCCGAGACGCCATGGGCTCTCTCAGCCAGATGGCCTGGACATTTCCATCTCTTATAACATTTCCGGTTTGTAATGGTCTGGGGGTAGAGGAGGGGGCTCGGCTTTGAGGTCCGCCTCCCTCAGTGAGTTTCAGGGTGCCTGGGAGAGGCAGGAAGTGGTATCTCGCAGCTCCTGTTTTGATCTTGTTTGGCTTATTCTTCTAACCATGGGAGCCAGGGGGTGCCCCCACCCTTTCAGCTTCCTGTGTTACTCAGCTGGGGCTTGCAAAAGCAAAAAGTGTTGCCAAAAATAATTTTTTAAAGTGCCTCCTGCTATTAATGTTTTTCCTAACGTCTCATGTGAGGGAGAGCAGAGAGTCAGGGATTTGGCATCTACAATAAGCAGAGGGCTTTGGGACCGATGGAAGACGTGGACAAAGACTTCTACTGTTTGAGCTTTGAAGTAACTGGTAAAACGGCTGCATTCCACTGTGGCCTGTTCATTGTCAATCCACAGGTCCTGAAATCAACTGGCTCTACACCTACCTCCTCTGGTTCACATCTTCGGTTCCACACATTTGCCTTTGCCCAAACTCTTTCTATGCAGAATGCAATCAAACCTACCAAATTTAAGGTTTATCTTGCTGTATTTTGGGAATATAGCAGGCCTAAGGCAATATTCTTAAAATTTTCCCAGTCTCCTACCCTTTTGGGGTACCTCCTCTCTCCCCATTCCATAGTATGGCTTTAATCCAATATTTTGCCTCTTTCAACTGTTTTTGTATTGGCCCAACCCCAAATTACTTTTCCATTCGTGTTGCAACGGAAGACAATTTACCATAGCCACTTCAGTGGGGATGAAGGGCCACCCAAGTCTGGAGCTTGAATGAAACCTCTTTCCACAGCTCTGCTTTTCTGGACTCCCCAAAACGTCATAAAAGTCGCAGCCAAGTTGTTGCAAATCGGGCATGTAGTTTCCTGGTCTGAGCCCCAGGGTCCCCCACACTGAAGCCCAGTGTTACAGTATGTGGGAAGAAGCACTTTTTACAGGCCTACTGCTGACATTCTAGGCAGTTAGACCCCGGGAGCCGAGGGCTCAGAGGGCATATAAACCCCAGTGAAGAGAGGAGCAAGGCGGAGGCCATACACACCTGGTGCCGGTCTGAGGTCTTCAGCTCCTGCTTCTGCGTGGTTTTCCCCTGCCTCTGATCTGCTCTCCAGAAACACCACCACCTCACCACAGAAGCACCAGCCCACAGCTCATCTCTCTGCTCTAGTAGAGGTTGCTTAGGGCTTCAGCCAATCCCCGCTGCGCTGTCATCTCAAGATCTTAATTCCAGGACGCAGATCTTCAAACCCAAGGCTGCCCTGCTCTCGTTTTTGTATTGCACAATATTGAAAGCTTGCTTTCTCTGCTAGTAGAGCTGTTTCTGCCCTGAAGGTTGGACCCTCCTCAGGAGTCTCAATAGTGCCCCAGAGCCTATGGTATCCAAAAGGCCCAGAGACATCCGGAGGTGAAGCCAGCGGAGGGAGCTGATCCTTGGGATTCTAATAGGGAGTTTGTGGTAAGTTCTCAGCATGTGAAGTTGGAAATTCAAATTTATGAAGGTCAAATGGCAAAAATAAAGGTCTGAACCAGTTCTGGCCACTTTCTTCCAATTATTTTTCCCAGATACCACAGTTTGGGGCTATACTTTTATTGGAGTTGAGGCTTTCATGGAAGAGATAGAGAGTTGAATTACCTTATTTTAGGGGAAACAATAGCTGTTAACTGAAAAAGTCTGAGACTGTTTTTCTTTAAAACTGGAAGCTAGGGGGTTGGTGGGGAGGAGGGACAAAGAAGAGAAGGGTGAGGATTGGGAGGGGTGAGAAGAAGGGAGGGAGGAAACCACAACCAAGGGAACTTCTGCTCTTGGGCTGGAGCATGGGGTGAAACTCCTCCTTGGAGACAAACCCAGAAATGTCTCTTAATATATCCCCCCTCATTCCCACAAAGCTTGCTTTGATTCAAGCTCTGGTTGTGTCTTACCTGGGATATTACAAGAGTCTCAACTCCCCCAACCCCTGCTTGGAGCCAGGGTTCTTATTGCTACAAGTTAGATAATCCTTGAACCCTCCCCCCTCTTTTTTTTTTTTCAAGACAGGGTCTTGCTCTGTTACCCCATGCAGGAGTACAGTGGTGCAGCCTGGACCTCCTGGGCTCAAGCGATCCTCCTGCCTCAGCCTCCCAAGTAGCTGTGACTATAGGTGTGTACCACCATGCATGGCTAATTTTTTTATTTTTAATAGAGATGAGGTCTCACTATGTTGCCCAGGCTGGTCTTGATCACTCAAGTGATCCTTCTGCCTTGGCCCCCCAAAGTGTTGGGATTACAGGTGTGAGACACTGCATCCAGTTGGAAATTACAGAACTTTTTAAGACACAGATCTGATCATTCACAAGTCATTTCCTCAGATAGTAATTGCATACCTTCTAAGGATGAGCCAGACATTGCTAAGTGTAGGACTTTATACCTCAATAAAGCATAGTTCCATTCTTACTCAGCTTATTACCTATAGCAGTGTTTCTCAAGCTGGGTAGCATGCATTCTAAAGGATCTCTGATTTTATATATATACATATATGGGTTTCCTTTAAAAATGGGTCCATGCATTATTCAAGTTTGAGATACCTTGTTCAACAGAAAAAGTTTAAGACCCATAATTCTAAAGACCTGTCTGAGATCCTTTCTTTGGTACTACTCTGGCATACCTTCATTTCAGCCATACTCTGCTATACCCAATTCTTTGCCATACATAGGCCTGTAATCATTCCAATTCCTTTACCTTAAACACTCTTCTACTTTCTGCTTTTTTCCCTCATCATCACTCTTGCTTCTCTACTGGTTAGCTCCTACTCATCCTTCAAGATTCAGCTAAAATGGTTTCTTTCCTTTATTTTTATTTTTTGAGACAGAATCTTGCTCCGTCACCCAGGCTGGAGTGCAGTGGCACAATCTCAGCTCACTGCAACCTCCACCTCCTGGGTTCAAGCAATTCTTGTGTCTCAGCCTCCTGAGTAGCTCGGACTTCAGGCATGCACGATTACGCTCAGCTAATTTTTGTATCTTTAGTAGAGACGGGTTTTCGCCATGTTGGCCAGGCTGGTCTTGAACTCCTGGCCTCAAGTGGTCCACCTGCCTTGGCCTCCCAAAGTGCTGGGATTATAGGCATGAGCTGCCGTGCCTGGCCAGGTTTCCTTCCTTTAAAGCCTTCCCTGTTCCACCTCAGGTGGAATAATTGCTGCCTTCTTTCTCTTTTTCCTGCATCATGCTTTATGCACTGCTGCTATAGCCTTATTATACTGTTTTGGTGTTATTTATTACATGTCTCTGTCTTCATGGCTGGACTGTGAGCTCCTCAAGAGTTAGGACTGTAATGCTCTTTGCCCCTGTAGCACAAGGCCCAGCACAGAGTTGGAACTTATCAAATGACTGTCAAACAAATGAGTGAGATGATCTCAATTTAGTTCAGGACCAGAAACCACCTCACGTGCACAGCTGTCTGCCCCAAGTTCCTGCTCTGTCAATGAAAATGACCTAACAATCAGGAGCTCTGACCACAGATTGAGAAATCCAGGTACAATGTCTGACGTGAGGAGCAGGGCTGAGCTTAGGAAATCTTTTTTACATCACTGCAACTTCTCAGTTTTGTTCCATACTCTCCCATCATCTTTCTTTCTCTGCTCAAGCCATCTTCAAGGTAGGGTGAGATGTCACACAGGCCGGTGAGGTTGTGTGCTCCATCTCTTTCCACCCGGTGCGGTATGCTTTGGTGGTGTCAAGCTGCTTGTAGCTCATATTAATACATGAATTTATAGTACATACTAATTTACAGGTTTCAACATGGGGATTCTGAGGAAACTTGGGAATCCCCAAGACCCTTTTAAGGGATCAGCAAAGTCTTACTTTTTCTAATGACATATTTGTGTGAAACTGAATTTTTCTTTATGTTTAAACCAATAGATTGAATACAGAAGCAAATTGAGAAGCTAGCTGTCTTTTTTTTCAGCCAGACATTAAAAATATTTGCAAAAGTGTAAAGCAATGATACTCCTGTCACTAATTTTGTTTTTGAAAATATGGTTCTTTTTCTTTTTCTTTTTTGAGACAGAGTTTCACTCCCATCGCCCAGGCTGGAATGCAGTGGTGCAGTCTTGGCTCACTGCAACCTCCACCCCTGGGACGTAAGAGATTCTCCTGCCTTAGCCTCCTGAGTTCCTAAGACTACAGGTGCATGCCAATGTACCTGGCTAATTTTTTGTATTTTTAGTAGAGACGAGGTTTTGCCATGTTGCCCAGGCTGGTCTTGAACTCCTGAGCTCAAGTGATCCACCTGCCTTGGCCTCCCAAAGTCTGGGATTACAGGTGTGAACCACCGCACCCAGACTGTTTTTCTTAAAACATGTAATTCAGGTTAGCATGAAAAATTTTACTCTCATTATTTTAAAATTAATAATTCTTTCTCAATTTCTATCTTAATTTCTTCCTTCCTTCCTTCCTTCCTTCCTTCCTTCCTTCCTTCCTTCCTTCCTTCCTTCCTTCCTCTCTCTCTCTCTCCCTCTCTCTCTCTCTCTCTCTCTCTCTCTCTCTCTCCTGTCTCTCAGAGTCCTGCTCTGTCATCTAGGCTGGAGTGTAGTGGCACTATCATCGCTCACTGCAACCTCCACTTCCTGGGCTCAAGCGATTCTCGTGGCCCAGCCTCCGGAGTAGCTGAGATTACAGGTGTGCACCACCACGCCTGGCTAATTTTTGTATTTTTAGTAGAGACAGGGTTTTGCCATGTTGGCCGGGCTGGTCTCTAATTCCTGACCTCAGGTGATCTTCCTGCATCAGCCTTCCAAAGTGCTGGGATTTACAGACATGATGCACGGCACCTGGCCAACTGTTTTAATTTCTAGTATGGTAAATATAAACATTTCTTATATATTTTCAATAATTTAAAAAGTATAAAGGAATCCTGAAATAAAAAAATTGGAGAACCATTTTACTAGACTGTGTCATGCCTTTAGATTTTTTTTTTTTTTTTTTGAGATGGAGTCTCGCTCTTTTGTCCAGGCTGGAGTGCAATGAGGTGATCTCAGCTTACTGCAACCTCTGCCTTCTTGGTTCAAGCGATTCTCCTGCCTCAGCCTCCTGAGTAGCTGGGATTACAGGCATGTGCAACCACACCCAGCTAATATTTTTGTATTTTTAGTAGAGACGGGGTTTCGCCATGTTGGCCAGGCTGGTCTTGAACTCCTGACCTCAGGTGATCCACCCGCCTCGGGCTCCCAAAGTGCTGGGATTACAGGTGTGAGCCACCACCCCCGGCCTTGCCTTTAGACCTTTGCCTGTACCCCAACTAAAATACTATTCCTTCTTCCATATTTTCCTGGCAAATGCTTATATAAGTATTCCCCTGGCTCTTTTCTTCTCTGGAGTCACTCATTCCTTCTTGTATTTTCCTATATCTTGAAAACATTTCTTTTATTTTTCATGTTTTTGTATTGTTTAGTCATGTGTCTTTCTTACAAAACCGTGAGCCTTCTCAAAGCAAGAACCCTATCTAAATAATCTCATTATTTCTAGTGCTAGTCCAGTGCTCTGTATAGAGGACATAACCTATGAATATTGTACATTGAATGGACTAAAATCAAAGGCCTGAATTTTAGTTGCAGATCTGCCACTACCTAGCTGTGTGACTTTTCGCAAGTTACTTGACCCCTATGAAGCTCAGTTTCCTCATGGGCAAAATGAGAGTATTAGGCCAGATTGTCTCTAAGGTCCCTTCCCACTCTGATATTTTTATTCGGACTGAGTGGGTACATGGCATGCTGGTTTCGATAAATATCAGTGGGAATCCCATATGAAAATATTTGACATTTAGCATATTTAGTAATGTAAACTATATTGGGATCTTCCTTCATTCCTTCCAACAAATTAAAAAATGGGAATTCTTGCCACTTTTGTTTCTGGGTCTTCCTTGGATATGTAGCACCATGACCCTCAGGTGATGACCCATATATTTATTGTGACCTGTTTGACTTCTAGGTCTGAGCACCATCCCCCTCATCTCCTGCCTCTTCCCAGCTTACTTTTCAGTAGTGAGAAAACCCCTTCTCTTACTGTGATGATGTGGAAAGAAAAATGAGATGGGAACACATAGAAGCCCAAGCTTTGTTCAAAAAGAATTTCATTCCCTTACCTTCCAAGAGCTGTCAGAGGCCTGAATCAGAGTGGACAGTAGGTCTTGGAGAATCACCATTTTCTGTTTTAGGACCAGCTCCCTTTGTAGGGCCTCCTGGGGGTGCGGGCACAAAGTGCAAGAGGGTAAGATTAACCTGGAGGATCGGGGGTAAGTGGATGGAGGAACTGAGGGGAGGGGTCACATGCCACTTACTTTGAGGTAATCAGAAAGCTGGATGATTTCCTGGAGAGAAAGAACAAGGGTATTCAAAATGTCTGTAAGTCCCCTGAAACCCTGGGATATAGAACCAGAGCCTGGGCTGGCTTGTGTAGAGCAAACCTCTTCTGCTTTGGCTCTGACAGGGTCCCTTTAGTCCCCATGTCTATGCTCAGTACCCCCTTGCCATCCAGGAAGAAGATGCCCCTCCATCCCAGCCAAGTTTATCATGGAATTCCAGAATGTCAGAGCTTAATACTTTCTGATTTGACCCCTTCAAAGTGAATATGTGCTTACCTTATCCAGAACTGCAACTCCGTAACTGGAAAGAGAAGAAATTAAAAATAATGATAATGGACCAAAGAATCAAGTCAGGAGGCAGTGGGTTGATTCCTTCTGAAGAGCCAGTAGGGTGGGGAAGGGCTTCCTCTTTCTTAATTAAGGCGGACATGGAAATTCATTGTGTTCTCTCTAGAGAGGAATGGATGGGATGTGAGAGGGTTAGGGTCAGGAACTCACTTGGTTTGCTGACTGGCATCGTTCTTAATTGTTGGTCCTTCTGCCTTTGTCTGAGTACCTGAGAGATGGAGGATAAGTTGATTTAGAACTTACAGGGAGGAAGTGAGGGAAGTGGGGAGGGACAGGGACTCTCCATTGCCAGTGAGCTGGGACAGTTGTCTCAGGATTCTCTGCAGGCCCTGTGGAGTGAGGGAGGCTCTGCTCTTACCACGGTGGTGTTTGGGTGGCTTCTTGATGGGAGTGTCCTGTGGAGGAAGGCCCCCAGCCTGTGAGGAGAGGTGGTCAGACAGATCCCTGCAGATGCCTGAGGGAGGAGGATGCTGGGCTGGAAAGACTTCAGAGCTGGTGCCTGTCACCTGGAAGGCAAGTGGGGAATGCTGAAAACCACTGCCTGGAGCCTCTTGAAAGACTCTCCTGATGATTTCGGAAGGAAGAACTAACCATCATGTTTGTTATGGACTGAGTGTTTATTGTCCCCCCGCCCAAATCTGTGTGTTGAAATCCTATCTCCCAATGTGATAGTATTAGGAGGTGGAGACTTTGAGAAATAATTAGGTCAGAGCAGGTAGCCCTCATGAATGGGATTAGTGCCATTATTAGAAGAGACACGAGAGAGCTTGCTTTCTCTCTCTGCTCTCTGCCTTGTGAGGACACAATGAGAAGAAGGCCATCTGCATAGTGGGAAGAGTGCTCTCATCAGACACCAGATCTGCAGAATCCATGGGTTTAGAACTCCAGACTCCAGAATTGTAAGAAATAAATTTCTGTTATTTAAGCCACCCAGTCTGTGGTAATTCATTACAGGACGAAGACAATGTTTCAGATCCACAAAACCAAAGTAGCCCACTCAAGCTTTCAGAGCCACACAGGCTTCTCCTGCTCCTGATATCCTTGTCCTGACTGGCAGAAATGGTCCTCCTCAGGCCAGGCATATGTGGAGCTGTACTTTTCTCCAGGTTTTCTCTCTAGAATCTCTAGTTGTTGTTTTTTTTTCTCTCTCTACCTTGTTTGGTTATGGCCACTTACATAGCCAGCATGGTGATGTGGAAAGAGAACTGGTCTGAGTGGGGAGTGAGGGGATCTGGGTTCAGATCCCATCTTTTCTAGGTCTCAGTCTTCTGTCTGTGTAGTGAGGAGTTTGGAATAGATAATCCATAAGGTTCCTTCCATATTCAAAGGAAAGCCTCCTTTCTCTTAGTAACAGCTAGAAAATCATTGAGGTTTTGTGTGAAGACTAGGTAAAGTGGGGAGTTGTGGGAAGGTTTTTTGCTTTAGTATACAGTTCCTTTTCTTTTGCAACTGGGCTCTAGGATCATTTCTCTGAACAGCATCTCCTATTGAGCATAACAGATCCACTAGTTAAGAAGCCCTGATAGAGTACCCACTCTGGGTAGGGAACAATGCCAAGCATTACCATGGAACATAGTGGACACATCCCTGCTGTCAACATGCTCACAACTTCAGTAGGAAGATGGTTTGCTGGCCAAGGTCATCTCAGCATACCCTGGTTTTTGCCAACATTGTTCCTTTCCAGGCCAGACTAATGGGCCCTCTAAGGGTTACACAATCTTAGAAGATTTTAACCTCACAAGGCCCATAGACAGCAGAGGTGGCCTGGAGAAGCCAGGGAAAGCTTCCTGGACCAGATGAGGCTATAGTCAAGTGATTTAATAGAATTGGAATGACACAAGAGGAAGTGAGAAGAGTGGGCACAACAGCCTTGCAGAAGAAAAGAGGACAGATATGTCTGTGTGTGTGTCAAGAAGACTGGCCTGTGTGCTTGGCATATAATAAGCTTTCAGTAAATATTTGATGACTGATGGATGAATGAATGCTGTAAGATAGCTGTAGAAGACATGTGTATATTGCCTAAATTTGAACTGATATAGGCATTAGCTTTGGAATTATTTTTATTTATTTTATTTTTAAGTTTTTTAGAGATAGGGTCTCCCTCTCTTGCCCAGGCTGGAGTGCAATGGTGTGATCATAGCTTATTGCAGCTTCAAACTCCTGGGTTCAAGTAATCCTCCCATCTTTGCCTCCTGATTAGTTAGGACTACAGGTGTGCACCACCATGCCTGGTTAGTTTGTAAAGTTTTTGATAGAGACAGGGTCTTGTCTCTATCAAAAGGCTGGTCTCGAACTCCTGGCCTCAAGTGATCCTCCTGCCTTGGCCTCCCAAAGTACTGGGATTACAGGTATAAGCCAACATGCCCAGCCTGAAATTGTTTTTAAAAATTATTTTTTCTCTCTTATAAGTCAAGTGCAGAACAAAAAGAGCTAAACAAACGAAAACACAACAGCAAAAATCTCTGAATAAGTAGCTGTTGGCAACTTTACTATAAGTAGCTCTTGGCAACTTTACTATATGACTGAGGAAGAAGGACTTGATTTAGGTCACTTTTTAGTGACCTTGAGCCCACCCACCCTCCTTGTCCAGAGAGGGTCCCAGAGCACACAGCAGTATGTCCCTTGACACGGCCCACCTGCTCTCTGGGAGAAGAAATCCTTCTGGCACAAGACAAGGGTTCCTTGAGGACAGTCACCTGTCCTGGCCGCCTGGAGGGCCCTTGCTCCCTGGCCTGGGGATGCTGCGCTTTGCCCTTCTCCTCTAGCTCCAGGTTCCTCCTCCTGAAGAACTGCTGCAGTCGAGCTCTCTGGAGCTGCTCTCTCTGTTGGATCCTCAGCGTCTTCCCCACCTGGCGGCAAGTGGTCACATTGGGACGGCAGCGGCGGCTTTCACGGATCTCTTGCCTGCGCTCACACTTGGCCTCATAGCTCTCAGCCCACCGGGCCAAGCCAGGGGAGGGCCTGGGGTCTGGGCTGATCATGATGACCTCCAAGCACCTGTTGCGCTTGGCTTCCAGTTCCTGGAATAGATGCCTGGATCTGCCAAATGCCAAGAGGGAGGAGAAGGGGAGGGGTCAGAAGATGGGCAGAAAAATGACTATCTCCCTAGACCAGGGGGCAGAAATAGCACAGAGTTCCATCCATGTGGGTTGAAAACTGAGGACATGGTGGTATCAAAGTGGGAGTCAGGACTCTTGGGCTCAGTCTCTAATGAACTAATACAGTCTTATAAAAGTGAATTCCTGCTTTTCTCTAGCCGATGTTTCCCCTTTGTAAAGTAAAAGGGTCTCTATGGCTGCCACTTACTCCTTGACTGAACATCTTACCATGCCTCTGAGTCAGGGGAACATGAGAAATAATTGATTAAAATCATAATGAGCTTATAGCCTCTTGGATGGCAGGTGTGTGTTCATTTTCCAGACTTCTAGAGAAGCAGCTAAGTTGAGCCAATCTGCCCTCTTATCCCCCAGTTGAAAAGGAAAGTCAGTATCTTTACTGGTCTCTTGGTCCAAGCTGTCACTAACATAGTTGAGTGACACTTCTCAAGGATCTGGAGGGCTAACCACACCCCCTCAGGTGGTGACCAGTCCTGTGACCAGCACCCACTGCTCTCTTCTTGACTTTTAGCAACGAGCTTGTGAGCCTGGACCTGGCATGGTTTAGGAGGGAAACCCTACCCTAATTCCTCCAACCTGCTGTCCTGACAATGGTCCATGGGCCCCCCACTCCAAGCTCAGGACTGGGCTGTGTCTCTCAGGTGCAGATCAAGTCCAATCAATATTGACTGAGCATCTGCCACATGCCTAGTGCTGGCCAAAACCCATTTCAGAGCATCTGGCTCCAATACTGTTGGGGCTGAGGGTTCCATTTCTTTAGGATTACCAACCTGTCAGGGTTAATGTTGGTGCCAAGTCTGCTTTCCTTAGCCCAGACACAGATTGTGCCATCCAAACCCACAAGCACATGAATTGTACCTCAATAAGGCTGCTGCAAACAGAAAAGAAACAAAACAAAGACAGTAATCAGAAGTTTCCAGGGAGCCAGGCTTGGTGTAGGGGCCACAGGATGACCCTCTGCATGGCCTTACCTGATATTCACATAGCACCTAGACCTGAATCCCCTTTTCCTTCTCTGTGCCTTTCTCTTTCCTACTCTTCCCCACCTACCTTCTGTAGTTTATCCTCCTAGAACCCTCTGGTCACTTTGCTGAGTTGGGCTGGATTTGGATGAGCTGGATCCTGAGCGTTGGAAATTCTGTGTCCTGCCTCCTCTGATCACTGGAGTCAGACCAGGGACTGATGAAGGAAGAGGGACTCCCCCTCACAGCTGCTGCTGCTTCTCTTCCTCCCACGACCTCATTACCCACCACCCTGGGAGGAGGGTATCTCAGCTTCACCAACTAGCAGGCATTTGCTAGCTCTAACCCCTTGGGGTTTATTTATAGGCCAAACAGACTCAACAGGTAGCAGACTCTCTGCCCCTTTACTGGGACTTCGCTACTCTGGCTCAGTCTGGAATTCTCTGCAGGATTCTTGTTTTCTCTCTGATCCTACCACTCATTCCCCAGGGTCATGGGTGGGGCAGTCTTCTTCCCTGAGAGGAGTTTTGTGTGGTCAAGCCCTGGACACTCAAATGCCTGACTCTTGAGGGTTGGAGGGGCATACTCTGGTGTCAGGCAGCATTGATTCCAAGCAGAAATGTGAGGTTATTAATGTTTGTCCTCTACATACCCATTCTGAATGGCTCTCTTCTTTGTTTTTCCTTACTTCTTCTTCTCGGATAAGGGTGGGAGTGGGCATAGGGGGTGGTCCCTTGACTTCTTCCCTGCCACTTTCTTTATTTAAAGACTTAAAAGAAAGGGTCTGAGAGACCCATGTCTATTGTTATAAATGACTGAATGGAGGAGACGCAGGATTATGTGCATGTGAACTCCATGTCTAGAACCTACACTCACAGCATCCCTGAGCCACAGCCCCTGGCTATTCTGCCATGGATTGCAGTGGAGAACCCTGGCTCTTGGAGTCACACTGCGTGGACTCATGTCCTGGCTCTGTCACCTACAACCTGTGTGTGTTTTTAGATAAGCTATTAAACATCTCTAAGCCCCAGTCTCCTCATTTATAAAATGGGGCTAGGACCTGCCTTGTAGGTTATAAGGATTAAATGACAAAATGCAGGCCATGCACCTGGCATGGAGCACACAATAAATGTTACCTTTTAATAATAAAGACATAAAGTATTCCTATTAGGTTGGTGCAAAAGTAATTGCGAATATTATCCTTGTTATGCCGATGTTGGATATTGAAGACTTGGTGCTGTAAGACAAAGGCTCCAAGCTAAACTAGCACTTCTAGGACCAAGAATGCCTTCTCTCATCCTCTCAACCCTCTCTCTCTTTGACAGAGTATATTGTTTACCAGATTGAGGGGATGCTGGCCCCAGGCTGAAGTCACATTTACTTCTGACCTCTGGGTTTGGGCTATAAGGAGAAAGGCTTCTCTGTGGTCTGGACATAATTGCCATCCCAATTACACCAAGCCGAAAGGTAAGGAAGAGATGGGGTCTGCCTGTGTCACACATAAGGTGTGAGGTCCCCTCCCTGTTTGGCTCAGCTTCCCCACAGGTTTTGTAGTGGAGGCAGAACATTGAGAATCCTCCTACCTTCTTGCCGCGAAGAGGAAAGGGCTGTGGGGGAGAAGACAGTGCCTGAGATGAGGTCTCTCTGGGCTCTCCACCCAGGCCACCAACCTTAGTCCACTGAAACACACAGCTGCTCTGCTCTCTGCTTCCTTGGGGCAGACATGGAGCCTTCTTACCCAAGAAAGGAGCTGCAGTGGAAATGGCTCCTTAGAGAGGGGAGTGTTCCCAGATGCCTTGGCTACCACACCTGCTAGGATTTGGTGCAGCATGCTGCATAGAACCCTACCCAGGTTTCTGGGATATCTGGACCCTACTGACTTGCTTGAAAACAAGAAGGTATGTGGGACGGCTGACAGGGGTAGGCTGCTAAAGAAAAGGGAACTGGTCCCTGTAGGGTTCAAAGAAAGATCACTTGGCCACTGCCCAGGCTTTCTGGCATCTCTCAGGTTCCCCCCTGGCAGCATGACTGGGCTCACTTAGAGCTTGGAGGAAGAAGGTTTACTGGCTGGGAAGGCTCAGCCTGGTCTCTCAGGCTGCAGAGAGAGAACAGGGCATGGCTCCTCACCTGACTGTGGCTTGACATGCCTTTCTGAGTCTCGCTTTTACTTCCTGGCCATGTTTGTAATGGAGACAATGAATGGCTTCCTGCATGGGTTGGCCTTCCTGGCCCAGAGCTCTCAGTGTGAACTGAGGGGAGAGGGGCCTGCGCTTAAGCTGCTGGGAAGGCAGTCTTGTGTTCAGGGATCCCTGCTTTGAAGAAAACTGTAAAAGGTCATTTAATTCATGCCCATATCACTGGGTAGCCTGAACTCTAAGTCGTTTGACTCACTCCTAATCTAATGTAATCTAATCTACTGGAACAGAGGAGTGGTGCAAGCTGTACCCTGTGCCATGGCTAGCGCCACAGGAAACCAATACAGGATACTTTCTTGGTTACCCAAACCCCTGACACCCTTAAACTATGCCACCCACTCTCCACCCAGGGGAGCTGGGATGGTAGAGCATCTTCTGCCCTACCCCGAAGTTGGAGTTCCCAAACCTGGACACAAAAGCATCCTCCTTCTCAGTTACCTCCTAGTCCCAGGCTCCAACTCAAGCCACTCGGGAAAGCATTCCAGTCCTGGGCAGATCTTGGCTCTGGTCTCAGATGGAGCAAGACAGCAGATGGGTAAAGCACACGCTTTCAATCCATAGGTCTGGGCCCCATTAACACGTCCCTTCTTGGTACCGTCTTTCTTTTTGCACAGCAGCCTTGCTGAAACAGGAAACAGACAAAGCCACAAGGTTCGCAAACCCCAGTTCCTCTCTCTTGCTCTCTGGTATCATCTAAGTGGGCCCCTGAACTCTGAGGCCTCCAGGGCTGGGCTCAGGAGCTCCTCCCATCAGTAGGCACCCCGGCCACCCTTTCTCTTGCTACTGGATTGGTCGGAGCTCTTGGACAGTTTCAAGTCAAGATTCCTTTCCATGATTAGAAAAGGATAGTCCTCTGGGTCAGATTCAGACCTTTGTGGTTTCTATGAGAGGGAAAAAAATGCCTTTTTGGTGGTAAGACCTAGATGAGATGTTCTCAGTGTAGGCTTTCATGTGTATCAGGTAGTTCTTTGTGTAAGGATTTTCCTTTTTCTTTAGCCACCTCTTCCCAATCCTGGTGTTGTAAAGAGTTTCTGCTCTTCTGAAGTAGGTGGTGTCTTTCTCAGATTCTGGAATGAGACCAACTCTGGATTTGCTCCTTTCTGGAGCAATGAGGAGGGAGTGTAAAGGTGGGTAGCTGGGGGATGAAGGAAGGAATAGAAGGCAGAGTCTTCTACACATTTTTTTATCTGGTCAACCGGACTAGGAAATTTAGGGAAAAACTAAAGGGAACTGATTTGCATGCATTAAGATGAAGCCATCACAAATGATGCAGCCAGGAAATTCCCAAGAAGTTCAGGCTAAAATAGTGGAGAGGAAACTGGATTGGGACAAGTTAACTGAGCAGCTTTGTAACCTTGTAAAATTCACCTTGTCTGGATGCTACTCACTGTGGTAGTTGGGTGATGTATGTGGCTCTTTGGAATTCTAAGGTTTGACACATGTGAGGCAGGTAATGAGACTTAAAAATAGCTGTGATAACATTTATTAACATGTGGAGAGTTTGTCACCATTTTCTCTGCTTCTGCTTCTTTCTCTGTTCTTTGAGGAGAAAAAGGACAAGGAATCGGCAGGGAAAAGCAGAGGATGGATTCTCAAGCACTAGGACTGAAGACAAGTGGCATTTACTCAGGATGAGAGACAACAGCTCAAGGCCCTGTGTCTGGAGCTTGACACATAGAGATGGGAATGAGTAGAGGACAGAGGGCTTGGGGAGCCCAAGATGTCAGAAAAAGAGAATTTTGGCCGGGCACAGTGGCTCACACCTGTAATCCCAGCACTTTGGGAGGTCCAGGTGGGTGGATCACTTGAGGTCAAGAGTTCAAGACTAGCCTGGCCAACATGGTGAAACCCCATCTCTACCAAAAATATAAAAAATTAGCCGGATGTCATGGCATGTGCCTGTAAACCCAGCTACTTGGGAGGCTGAGGCACAAGAATCGCTTGAACCTGGGAGGCAGAGGTTGCAGTGAGCCAAGAATGTGCCACTGCACTCTAGCCTGGGCGACAGAGTGAGACGGAGTTTCACTCTTGTTGCCTAAGCTGGAGTGCAATTGCGCGATCTCGGTTCACTGCAACCTCCGCCTCCCAGGTTCAAGCAATTCTCCTGCCTCAGCCTCCTGAGTAGCTGGGATTACAGGCATACGCCACCATGCCTGGATAATTTTTTGTATTTAGTAGAAATGGGGTTTCAACCATGTTAGTCAGGCTGGACTCAAACTACTGACCTCAGGTGATCCACCTGCCTCGGCCTCCCAAAGTGCTGCGATCACAGGCATGAGCCACCACGCCTGGCCAGAGAATTTTTATTGGCATAGAAGAGTGAGAAGATTCTGGGAGTTCAGGGCATTAGAGCGTAAAGAAAGACAGGAGATTTTAATAGGAGTTCCTATAGAGACCTACTATTTGGACTCCATTAAACATCAGAAAGAAATGTCTACAAAGTCCGCAGTCATTGGGATACTAATCCCATGATAACTGGGATTTAGAGTGGTCAATGATATGCTCAAGATCACACAGAAAGTGTTGGACCCAGGTTTGCTTGACAGTAGGTTTGAGCCCTTAACATTGTGTTCTGAGAACAAAACAATTAATAAGGTTGTCATACCTATCTATCTATATTGAAAAAGACACACACACACACACAGAACTTTGAGAATAGAAAATATACCTTATTTTCAAATGCCCACGAGACATTAAAAAAATTGACCATATGGATCAAAAAGTAAACCTCAGTATATGTTTTGAAAAGTTGATCTATTATGGCAGGATTTTCTGACCACAGTACAATACAATTGAAATAAATAACAAAAGATGGAAGAAAGAAACACTTTAACTTCTTGGAAAAAAATTCTTCCCATTTACTCTGAAAAGATAGAGGGAATTTCAAATCTGCAATTAAGAATGCATTGAAAACGGTGATAGTGGCAACATTATGAGGAAAATCTGTGAGGTATGGCCAAGCAGAATGCAAGGAAAATTCCTAGCTTTAAACATTTTCATTACCTAAATCAAGAAGATTAAAAATAAATTTCCTATTCATTTATTTTCAAATGAATTGCTAAAAAATGATCAGAAAAAAAGGAGGTGAGAATTTTGAAATGATAAAAGGAGAATATATAATAAGTTAGAATCCTGTTTAAAATTGATAAAAAAAATTCAGTTTTGTGTGTGCATCTGGCAGGGGGAGGAATGGTAGACATACAAATAGAAAACAAAATCAATAAAATAAAATATCAGCGAGCCAAATCAATTTAAAAAAGAGAAAAGACATTATAAAAGTTTAGGAATGATACATGGAAAGTAGCCACGATACGGTGGAAATTAATTATAGAGAGTCATTTGTGTAACTATGCTAATGATTTTTAAAATCTAGATAAAATGGATTTAAGAAAATGAATTTACCAAATTAAGCTCAAGTAGAGATTTGTAGTGTAATCATCAGCTGGCCTCCAATAGAGGGTTTAATTCAGGCTGCTCTTGAGCTGGGCACCAGGCTTTTAGTGGCCAGTATCCTTTGCTTCTCCTCATCATTTCCAGGTTCAATGGGAACAACGGCTCCCTTTTTTGATGGTCATATTCTGAAACAGTTTCCTTGATAGATGCTGGGCCCTGTGTAGTCCCCCATGAGGCGATGAGTATGGGGTAAGCTACCCTTTCCTTTATAGCCTGGTTGCTTCACAATACCACACAAGCATGTGTAAGATTATCAGATTTTATTGTACAGTTGGGGTAACTAAACTATATGCTAATATGACTTCTCCCATACTCCAAGAGACAGCACTAAGGAGTTAAAAAAATTTTTTTTTTCTTGAGATGGAGTTTCGCTCTGTTGCCCAAGCTGGAGTGCAGTGGCATGATCTCAGCTCACTGCAACCTCTGCCTCCCGGGTGCCTCAGCCTCTGGAGTAGCTGGGATTATAGGCATGCACCACCACGTCTGGCTAATTTTTTGTATTTTTAGTAGAGACGGGGTTTTGCAATGTTGGCCCGGCTGGTCTCGAACTCCTGACCTTAAGTGATCCACCTGCCTTAGCCTCCCAAAGTACTAGGATTACAGGCATGAGCCACCATGAAGTTAAACACTTTATGGGGGTCCCCTCATGGGTGTTACCAGTTCTAATCCCACTCCTCTTTCCACTCTACAGGGTGACTCCTACCTATCTTCTGGGAAATGGCAACCTCATTCATAAGAGTTGTTCTTGCCTTAGAATCCTTCCCTACACTCCTGACAAGGTTTCTTCAGCACCGCATTCCTCAAGTCTAAGTTATTCATTCTAGAATAGTGCTGCAGACACTCTTAATAGGATAGTCCACAGCGGCCTTGGCACTCCAAATTTTGCAGAACAGCTCAGGGCAGGCATACTTAAGTCTGTTCGCATTCAAGTTCAAGTTCTCCTTATCAGGTGACTTGCAGACTCTCCTCCTTAGTTTTCCAAGTGTCTAGCTGGTAACTGTTTACTCAGATGTCCACACAAACATCCCAAAGACAAATATTCATTCTCAGAGATGATACAGTCTAAACTCACCAGGAGGAAGACAAGTATTTCCTTGACTCCTACGTTTGCAAGGTTGCTGCTCTGTCGAGTTATGACTGTACATTTGTGGCAGGACAGAGTTCTAAGTCCTCCTCTTGTCTTTGCTTGCTTTGTATCATCATTGTTGGTAGAGAGCCTTTTCGTGTAATGAAACCTCAAATTTATGCTGTAAGAGACTTTCAATATTAGCAAGAGATTTATCTGTTGTTTAGATTCTAAGAATCTGAAAGGCCTAACCATAAGGCTCAAATAACTGTGGATCCGTTCTTGTGGGTCCAGCATTGAGCAAGGGACAAGTTACTTTTTGTTGTAGGCTCATAAGAAAGGTGGTCTCACTGGCTGTGACATTGAAGGGCCTTGACAGGCTGCAGCCTCAGGCTTGGGGGTGAAGGTGGGGTAGGTATAGAGGTAGGAGTGTATGTATATTAGGAAACAGAAAAGGAAAGAGTAATGTAGAACAGAAAAAGGGGGGCCTCCCAGGCACCCATCTCTATTTGGACGGAAAGGACAAACCACAAGTTAATCTTCAGAGAGCTTTCATTTCTCTTCTTTATCCTTCATTTGAGGTTCTGTACCCTTGACTCCTGCCAGAATATGAAATAGGGCTGTTCCTGAGTTAAATATCATAATGACTTGTCTTCTACTCATAAAATGCCCTTTTATAAATGAAAAATTACTGCTTTTTAGAGCTCAGCCGAAGCACCACCCTCCTCTCCCTAGTGTATGTGTGAGTTTTCCAATAAATAGGACTCCTAGTTTGTGGCTAAAAAATCACATTCTTTTTTGAGATGGAGTCTTGCTCTGTTGCCCAGGCTGGAGTGCAGTGGCACGATCTTGGCTCACTGCAACCTCTGCCTCTGGGTTCAAGTGATTCTCCCACCTCAGCCTCCCGAGTAGCTGGGATTATAGGCACACGCCACCATGCTGGCTAATTTTTGTATTTTTTAAAGTAGAGACGGGGTTTTGCCATGTTGGCCAGGCTGGTCTCAAACTCCTGACCTCAAGTGATCCACTTGCCTCGGCCTCCCAAAGTACTGGGATTACAGGTGTGAGCCACCGTGACTGGCCCACATTCTTTATTTAAAAGATATTCTTACGTAAATTACTGAGTTTCCAAAAATTATCATTCAACAGAAATAACAAATATGAGGTTTCTGTTGATTAAAATATACTTCTACTTACTTTTTGTACGTCATGTTTTTTCACATAGCCTAGGCAGTCAGAGCCATGATCAATGTCTTTAGCTAAGAATTCTGAGAGCCTCAGCACTAGTAACTGTACTCATGAATACTCCGATATTGGGGATGTTGGCCGTCTAACAAAATTAGGTCATTTAATAGTGTGATCCTCTTTCTGAAACTGACAATTTTCCTTCCTAGTTAAATTGTCATCTCTTGGCACAGCCTCAGTTAAACTATCCTAATTATTTCACAAATGCCTTCACATTCCAAACTGAGATATCTTCCAGAGACTTTTCTATACATTTTATACATTTCTACACAAACCTTTAGAATCTGTTTTATACTCAGTATGATTTATCATCCATAACAAAGAATATTAAATTGATGCTGTAACACTGAACCAAACTGATTTCACCAAAAGTGCTCACATATTAGATTGCCATCAGCACTCCCTGCACACGCCCTCGCCCCCGCCTGCAGAGAGAAACTTTAGGGTTTGCTTAGAAAACTAAAGGCAGATGGACAGAGAAATGAGTTGGAAAGCATTCGGATTTTCTTTTTTTTTTTTTCAGATTTATACAAATTTTAATATAATATTACTAAAAGATTTTTAAAATAGAAAAATAATTATCTTAACCTACTACCCAAAGACAAATTAGTTTCATATTTTTCACACTACCTTCTAGTTTTTGATAATATGCATTTCTTTTTAATAATATTTTAAGCATAGTGAAATCTACATTTTTGTAATATGTAATTATATGAATTGTGTGTTTGTTTTTTCGCTTAATACTATATTATAAATATTTTTTGCTTTTACATTTTTTCCATTTTTTTAGCTTTCACATCGTCATGGTCTTTCATAATATTAGTGTACCACAACGTGTTTAGTAATTTCCTTATCATTAACCAGTAGCCACGTGACCCAGCATTGCTCAGGATAATAATTAGCCACTGGCAAATACAATGCAAATACAACTTAATATACATAATAAAAATTAATATGTTATAATAATTTTCTGTAATTGTAATAATTCAGAGCTGTGATTATGTTTAACTTTGTAACAGGATTACTTTATCTATCACATCTGTCATCTATACTTCAAGACTGTTGCTCACTCTGAAGCTGTCCTGAGTGGCAGCCTGGGGCTAGATGGGCAGGGACACCAGAAGTCAGACTGCCTGGGTGTGAAGCCTGGCTTTGCCCCTTACTATCTGTTTGAGCTTAGAGTGCATGAACACTACGTTTGAGGTCTTTGCATCTCAGTTCCCTCCTCTGTAAAATGGCTATAACCGATAATATCTACTTTACAGAATTGTTATAGGATTACCAGATATAATACTTGTAAAGCATTAAGAAATGTGAGCTATCACTATTAGCAACACCTGCAATTTGGAGCATCTGTCTTGTGATTTATTAATGGTTATGATGAAATGGACTTGCAGATCTGTGGCTGTGTGAAAATGGAGTAGTTTCAGTGAGTCAATGCATTTTGTCTGATCTAAACTTGTAAGTTTTAAAACTCATTTAACTAAGTTTTTTAAAGAATGTGTCTTGCACTGTTCTCCATGGAAGAAAAACATTTGAAGTGGCTCGTAGTGTTTCTCACTGTGTGTCATTTAAATTCCATTTTAAGTTAGACCAAAACAAATGTGTTCTGACTAATAATGAGAATCACAATAGCACCTGTCTCATAGGGCTCTTTTGATGATTTAAATTAGTTAATATTCAGTAGAATAGTTCCTAAATATAGTAAATACTATGGAAGTGTTTGGTAACACAATAAAGTAAAAATAAAAATATTCCAATGTTGCAGTGAAACTCGTTTTAGTTTGCATGATATAATTAGGAATTTTATTCATGTGGAAATTATATAGAGGAATTTAATTTTATTTAATTATATGGAGATTTTTGTCATTTCTAATTTTTAGCTTTTACAGATAATGCTGCCAATGGGTATCTTCATGCATGCATTTATTTGTTTTTCTTCTTTTAAAATACTTTCTTTAGGATAAAACCTTGGAGTGGGTTTGCTGGAGAAGTTTAGTGAAGAAGTAGGTTAGTTCTGAGAGCAAAGATTTCCAGGAAGTGGGTGGGAGGGAATCAAGCTGGGCTTTAGGGCATGGTGGAGATGGCAGGGTCAGTAGAGCTGGAAGGCTCTCTCACCAGCTTGAGAGCTCAGTGCATTGGGTGTCAGCAGGGGGCAAAAACAGCGTGGTGTAGGGCAACAGGCAATGACTGGAATCCAGTGAGCTGACTTTTAGATCCGTCTCCGCCTCTCTGTTGAAATGCAAGGCTGTTTTGCCCCTGTGGGTCTCCGTTTCTTCTAAAGCCTTTCCCAGTATGAGGGTCTATGAGTTCTTTATTTCTTAAACATTAAATACCTTCTAAATGCCTAAAATTGCACTCAGTACTAGAGATGCAACAATGAGTACAATATAGTCAGTATCTTCTCTTAGTTACAGACACACAAGGCAATTTTCAGGTAAATTTAAAAAGTGTGATAAACTCAAGTGATAAACAAATACAGAAAACTGTAGAGGCATGGGATAGAGGTGGGAGCTCACTTGCCCCAGCCTTGAGAGGTGGACCGGGTGGAAGGGAAGGAAGTTTTCCTGGAGGAGGTAATGGTTGGGCCTAACCTTAAAGGAGGCCCAGGAGTTAACCATGCAATGGGGAGAGTGAAGAGCGCTCAGGGCAGAGGAGATGGCATGGCCAACACACAGTGGGATCATCAGGGTGCTTCAGAGGACTGGCAGTTCTTTGTCCTTGGGGAATCAAAAGCAAGGCAGGTGGCCCGAGATGTGGCTGGAGAGGCAGCCAAGGTCGTTGTACATCACTTTAAAGCGTTTGGGTTTTCGACAGACCATTTTACCCAAGAGTGGCTTCGAAAATGTGCCAGCTTCCACTCAAGGCCAATCATCTGTCCTGATTTTCCCATATCTTGACAGCGCTTTCCCCGCGAGGTTCAGAGCACCTTGTTTTTGAGGGTGACCACTAGCTGTCGCTATTGAACAGGTCTAGTTCCCCACGGCTCAATGCCAAACGTAGGCCCCAGCAGCCGGGCGGAGTTACCGGACGCCGGAGTCCAGCCCCGCCTCTAGGTCAGTTCAGGGCCCTAAGCGATGACTCACTGGTAGGCACGCTGGTGTGCAGGTGGTGGCCGCCCTGGGGTAGAACCTGATACGCACTGGGCAAGGAGATTGCGTGAAGCGTGGTACACCACCACATTCAGCCACGGGGTGGCGCTGCCACCCTGACGGCCCAAAGGGAGGCCGGCGAAGAGGCAAAGTCTTTCCTTAGGACAGCCTTGCTCTTTTGTGGTCCACGGTACTGTTCAAGGACGGTGTGAGGGAGCCCCTGACGCACACCACCCCAGCGGTCCCGGGGCAGCGAGTCGCTCAGCAGAGAGATGCTCGAACGCTCTGTCATTGTGTCCCTTGGGCCTCAGCCCCTCATTGTTAAGGGTCTTTTGGGCCAGTCCCCAGTTTCCACCCTCTGATTCCAGGTTATGCGGTGTACCAATGTGTCCTCCCCTAGGGTTGCTGTTTCCTATCATCCTTCCCAGAAAGCCTCCCCAAATCAGCCAGTGCTCATCTGGTACTTTTCCATCTTTTAAAAATTGATTTTTTGATATGCAGTCATGCATAGCATAATGATGTTTTGGTCAATGATGGACCGTATATACGATAGTGGTCCTATAAGATTATAATATTGTATTTTTACTCTACATTTTCTATGCTTAGATATGTTTAGATACACAAATATTTGCCATTGTGTTACAATTGCCTGCAGTATTCAGTATGGTAACATGTTGCACAGGTTTGTAGCCGAGGAGCGGAAGGTATACCATGCAGCCTAGGTGTGTGGTAGGTTCTATCAGCTAGGTATGTGTAAATACACTCTATGATGTTGGAACAATGATGGAGTCAACTGTGATGCATTTCTCCGGTCTTATCCCCGTTGTTAAGCCATGCATGACTGTACATTTACATAGTGAAATAATGGCTACAGTCAAGCAAGTTAACATATTCATCATCTCACATAGTCACCTTTTTTTTTTATTGTGGTAAAAGTACGTAAAATCTACTCTGTTATTTCCAGTATATGATGCAATACTATTAACTATAGTCCTCGTGATGTTTCAGGAGTTAAAGATATGCCATTCTGGCATATTGACTATTTGAGTTAAGGGCACTTAAAAAACAGCAAGTGCAAGAAGATCACTCTGACCTTTGAGCTGTTTCTTAAAAGCAGATGACATTCTCATGGGAAAGACATCCTCCCTGTAGTAGGAAAAAAAAAGGAACAGTCTTATCATCAAGGATGAGAAGCTGAAGCCAAGAGAAATCTGTACAAACAAACCTTGTTAAACTAACCCTTATCTTCCTAGTTGCATCTCTACCCAATTAAATACCCTAGCCCAAGCCACTTGCCTTATCACATTTCACAGTGTGCTATTCTTTGTCAAATTCAGTATACTGAGTTTGTAACTGACTCTAACTGCTTCTTTGGGTCTTTATTTCCTTATGAGGTTCTCCTGTGCCATGCAAAATTTCTATTAAATAAATTTGTTTGCTTGTCTTCTGTTAATCTGTCTTATATCAGTTTAATTCTTGGGCTCAGCCAGGACTCTCTGAGAATGGAGGTGGAGTTTTGCTGCCCCTATATTGTACATTAGATCTCTAGGCTTATTTATTTTACATAACTGAAACTTTGTGCCCTTTGACCGCTGTCTCCCCATCATCCCTGTACCCCAACCACCTTTCTACTCTCTGTTTCTATATATTCAAGTTTTTCTTTTTTTTTTTTAAGTGAGATAATGCAATATTTTTCTTTCTGTATCTGACTTACTGGAGCTCACCCTAAGCCAAGGGAAGGTTTGTCCCATAACTCACGTCCCAAAGGACTAATTAAAAGCATAACATATGCTGACTTCTTTCTCTAATACAACTTTAGAGCCATAGCCTCCAAAAGGGGACGTGCAGGAGAACTGCTAGGATGGGCAGAATATTGGAATTTCTATTTAATTAATTTAATTTAATTTTTAAAATGTTTTATTTTTATTTCACCTAATATGTACACATAGTTATATAATTTTGCTTAGTGAAAAGTTCATGTTTTAGGTTCCAAGAACTTGGCCAAACTTGAACGCTGGAGAGAAGCGAAATTCACTCCCTAGCTCTGGAAAGGGGAATTTGGTAGAAGACGGATCTCATCCTTCCAATTTCTTCCCCTCAGGTAGTTTTCTGTATATGGAAAAGAACGGAGCTTAAAATTATTACGTGTTGACAATTCTACTTAAGAACTTAGGAGACTATCATTTCCTCAAATTAATGTGGCAGTTTCTTGATTGAAGAATTATACTTTTAATTTTCCTGGCTGCCTTCTTAGAAACAAATACACATTTTTAGTACAGGCAACTTTTATTGTTTCATTGCCTCTAAGTTAAAACATATTTGCTTTATAATAGTTCACAGTGTTTCAGAGTAAAATAGTTTGTCATTTTCGACCATAAAGGAGGCAGACTCTAAAACAAAACAAAACATGCTTTTAGAATCCATTCAAGCTGTCAGCATCATCAACACAGTAAGAGCAGCCAAATAGAACCATAAATATATTTGTCAACCCTTGGAGCCTACTAATAACAGGTATATATTACCTAGATATATGGTAGCTCCAGGGGAGTGCTCAAAAGAGGCAGCCCATGTGCTTGGGAAGTATAGCTATCTTTCACAATGAGAATCAGCCAGTCACGTCCTGTCCCATTGTTTATTATGTATTTATGTCTTCTCCTCAAAGAGACCAGAGCCTGCTTCACAGGCCACACTGAGAACAGGCTGTGCCCTGACCTGCTCATTCCCATTATTGAGTTCAATCCAGCAGTGAACATACCTGTAAATAATTTTATGAAAAGTATAGCAGGATTCTCTGTTCCAGTGGTTATAGACAATGGGATTGACAATCAAATTTGCATGTGACAAGAGAATGGTCATCTTCCTTGCCCACTTGGGCTTATCTTTAGCCTGAGCTAGCTGAAAAAGAGTGACACAGTCCATGGTGCGCACTGGTAGCGAGCACAGAGCAAACATCCCCACCATCACAGCCAGCGACTTGGCTGTGTATATCTCCCACTGGAGGGTGGTCCTTGAGTGGTCCATCAGCTCCGTGTACTAAAGCTGCCTGCAGTCACTGTGAAGAACTTGATGGAGATCAGCCACATTACGAGCAGTGGGGGCAGGACTTACCCCCCAAAACTGAAATATACCATGTAACTCATGGGTACCGCATTCTGAAAGAGACACTTCACAAGGCAGCAGCTTTCATTCATGGTTCCATCCCAGGGCTCCATGCAGTTATTAGAGGTACTGTCTTTACTGTTCCACTCCAGGAATGGGGTCAGTCCAGTGCCAAAGGCAAGGACCCAGAGGACAGCAGTAACCCCTCTTGTTTGGGTCCCAGTGACTAAACTTTTATGCCTGAGCCGACTGTGGCTGGCCAGGTACCTGTTGATGGCCATGGACAGGAGGCTGAAGATGGAGCTCTGTGTGAGCACAAGCATGAAGCAGGCAAGAAAGAGGTGGCTGTGGAAGTCAGTGCAGAACCCAGGCTGATGATGATGGCAAAGGGGAAGGCGAACAGCCCCACGGCCACATCAGGGAAACCAGGAAGGAGTTGGTGGACAACCGCAGTGCACTTGGCATGCCAGCCCTAACACCACGAACGGGTGTGCCCTGCACCTCCAGCAGCATGGCCCGGCCAGCCAGGCTCCAGGCCTCATCTACCTGGGCCCATGGCCCATCTACTAGGGCCTCATCTACCATGAGCCTCACATGGGACAGTTGTGTGTGCCCACACTACGCGTCTGCCAGCCGCATCTCTCTATTTATTTTTAGCTTGTCCTTTTAAGATTTCAATTTCTGCCTATGTTTTATGCTAGCAAATATTATATGCATATATTAAATAAATAGTAACTATATATCTATTAGAAGCACATATGCTTAATCATTTTTTTCCATCTTGGGGATCTTTTGAATTCCCCAAGTGTAATCATGTTTTAATAATGAAGTATGCGATCAAAAGCTTTGGAGAACCCTCCTCTAGAGAGTCTTTGATCCAGTCATCCTTTGAAGTTTGCCGTGGACTGTGCTCTGGGGTGGGTTTCACATGCTGGCCCAGAGTGGTCCAGCCAAGGAGAAAGGTCCTGTCAGTGTGGAGAATAGTAGCACAGCAGCTCTTGAGAGGGACTTGTTGGTGAGGGGGGACTTAACTATCCTTGAGAAGGAGATGTCTGGAAGAGCAACTTGGATGTCTGTCCCCTGTGCCAATGTGTGCTCCTCCTCTGAGGTTACCTCCTCAGGGCTCCCTCCTACTGATATCTAGGCCTTTTCATGACATTCTTTACTGAAGAGAGGGAATCACAATTTGTCAAAGGGAAATTTGCAGATGTGGGAGGCCTAGGATTTCCTCCAGCATAGGTAGAACTGTGGTGTCCAAGTAGTACCTTGCAAATGGTCAGTGTGAGTGGATGCTGTCAGCATGCTTAGGAGGCTGATGTCTTCAGACCTGTGTCCTTCTGCTCTGACTGTATCTCCCTGCTTCTCTGGTGATTTATACTTATGACAAACACTATTGGTTGCTGAATAGAACCACAGTTTTGTTTGGCGTGGCAATGTGCCCAGTTGAAAGCTCCATTTCTCAGCCTCCCCTGAAGGGAACAGTGGCCACATGCCATGGCTGTGGGCCGTGAGATGTAAGCTGAAGTCTTTGGATGGGGCCTCCCAGTGTGCTCATTATCAGGGGTCAGAGTCAGCTGGTGTGCATCCTGTACCCTTCACCTTCCTCCTTCTCTTGCCAGAAACACTGAGTGATGCTGAGGGTGGGGCCACTGTCTTGTGAACATCCAGCAACAAGGAGGAGGATGGAGAGCTGAGTGGAAAGACAGAAGGAGCCCAGGTCCCCGAAGGCCCTAGTCAGCTCCACCCAGACTTTTTGTTAGGAGAGGAAAATAAGTCTCTGCCTGATTCAGCCAGCCACTGTCAGACAGTTGGATTTTCTGTTACTCCCAGGGGAATGCAGTGCTAACAAACTTGAAAGTCATGACTGCAGGTCTCACTGACACCTTGGTCAAGGCTGTTGACTTCATGCAGGATGCTGATGCCCTTAGAATGGAAGAGTGTGAGCATCCCATGTCTTCAGGAGCCCTTGCTGCCTCTCCTTCCCTGGCAATTGTATTATAGAATGTAGATATCTTGTCACTGCTAGTCAGCTTGGCCACGCTTGCTGACAGAAAAAAAAAACAACAAAAAACAGAAAACGCCAATTTGACTCATGTTATCAGAGTTTGATTTCAAGTCCTGGAGGAGGAGAGAGTGAACTGTCTCCTTAAGAATAACGAATTCTGTCAGGAATGTGGAAAGTGAAAGTCATGATGATGTGCTGGAGCCAGTACACAGGCTTGAGAGAGCCGGGGGTGTCCATCTCTTCCCAATCCACATGCCGTGATGTCCTGTTGGTGACTCGAAGTTGGCCACAGTAAGAGTCTTTACATCATAGATACAGGCAAATGCTACAAATCAGCGAATTAAGGCTTTGTTTCTTCTTTTTCTGGAGAGTTAGTTGTTAAACATTTGTCAGCACAGCCCTGGAAAAGACCAAAGTTTTCGTTTAATATTAACTCATAGATACTGGCTATTAGTTTTCATATCTTCTGCTCCCCTAATGCTATGGAGGGGTGAATAAGCCCAAAATTAGCAGAATCAGAGAAAGGCTGCTTTATCCTGAACACGGGCTGAAACCTTACAATATCTTTGGGCCTAAGAAGAACTCTTACATGTTCAGACTAAAGGCAAAAACTAATTTTAACTTGACTTTGGCTATCAATTTGTCACCTGACCATGTTTCTGTCTCTGTACTCATTTCCTCACCTCCTAATCAGCCCTCCCACTCCTGTCCTCTTGACAATCTGCAGGGCCTTGGCTCCTGCAAACCTGCCTTCTTCCTGTGTTTATGTGACCCTCAGAAGCTCCTGATTCTGGGTCTGGTACAACAGTTTATCACTTGCATCTAGATACCTCATGATCTTCTCTGGCCCACACGTATGTGCCAGGTGCTCCTCTAGGTGCTGGGGGCACACTGAACTAAACAGAAAAAACTCCTGTCCTCATGAAACCAACATTCTAGCAGGGGGAATGTGGCAGATGGTACTTTCTAAAGATGGCTGCAGCAATTTTTAGCCCATCCATCCCACATGCTCTTCTTACAATGTGACAATGACAGTCCTCCATCAACAGGTGGGGTCTGTATTCCTTTTCCTTGAAATGAGGTGCATCTTCAGAAGTGCTTCGACCAAAAGTGTATGGTCAGTCCTGAAAGGCAATATAGCTTCTGCCTGGCTCTTTCTCTTGGGACACTTGCCTTTGGAGATCTCAAGTCCTCCAAGCAGTCTGGCAACCCTAAAGCTGCCATTCCAAGTGACCATGTGGAGAGATCACACAAAGATGAGAGAGACTCCTGCTGTGCCCTCCCTGCTTAGCTCCAGGTGCCCAAGGAGCCAGGCACCTAAAGTGCCCTACCTGTTTCAGAGTCCAGCTGTTCATGTCTTCCCAGGGCAGGCACAATCACGCTTTTAGGTGATTCTAGTTCCTGACCTTTGAGCCACCCAATCTTGCTGAGTGGAGCAGAAATTAACTATCCCTGCTGAGCCTGCTCAGACTACAGATTTGCAAGCGAAGCGAATGTCATTTTATGTTTTAAGCCACTGAGTTTTGGGATGATTTGTTATGTCACCATAGTAACTGGGACAAGGACAGATAATAAACAAGATAAATGACCAACAATATAGATAATAATAAGTACTAAGGAGAAAAAACAAGCAGGGAAGGCAGACATAAAATTTCAGGGCAGGCCTGGCATGGTGGCTCATCCTTGTAATCCCGGCTCTTTGGGAGGCCAAGGCGGGTAGATATCTTGAGTTTACGAGTTTGAGAACAATCTGGGCAACATGGCAAAACCCCGTCTCTACAAAAAATACAAAAATTAGCCAGGCATGGTGGCACATGCCTGTGGTCCCATCTCTCTGGAGGCTGAGGTGGGAGGATTGCTTGAGCTCGGGAGGTAGAGGTTAGAGTGAACTGTGTCATGCCTTGGCACTCCAGCCTGGGTGACAGAGAGAGACCCTGTCTCAAAAAAACAAAACAAAAAGAACATTTCAGGGTGGGTTTGAAATTTTATTTAGGGTGGCTAAGGAATGCTTCATTGAAAAGGCAACCTAAAAATTTTTTTTTTAATTTCCATAGGTTATTGGGGAACAGGTGGTGTTTGGTTTCATGAGTCAGTTCTTTAGTGGTGATTTGTGAGATTTTGGTGCACCCATCACCTGAGCAGTATACACTGAACCCAGTTTGTAGTATTTTATCCTTCACCCCCTTCCCACCCTATTCCCCTGAGCCCCCAAAGTCTGTTGTGTCATTCTAATGCCTTTGTATCCTCATAGGTTACCTCCCACTTAGGAGAGAACATACGATGTTTGGTTTTCCATTCCTGAGTTACTTCCCTTAGAATAATAGTCTCCAATCTCATCCAAGTTGCTGTGAATGCCATTAATTCATTCCTTTTGAAGGATGAGTAGTATTCCATTGTGTGTGTGTGTGTGTGTGTGTGTGTGTGTGTATATATATATCACAGTTTCTTTATCCACTCGTTGACTGATGGGCATTTGGGTTGGTTCCACATTCCTGCAATTGTGAGTTGTGTTGCTATAAACATGCATGTGCAGATATCATTTCTGTATAACGACTTATTTTCCTCTGGGTAGACACCTAGTAGTGGAATTGCTGGATCAAATGGTAGTTCTACTTTTAGTTCTTTAAGGAATCTCCGCACTGTTTTCCATAGTGATTGCACTAGCCTACATTCCCACCAGCAGTGTAGAAGTGTTCCCTCTTCACCGCATCCATGCCAATGTCTATTATTTTTTGATTTTTTTGATTATTTCTTCAGGAGTAAGGTGGTATCACATTGTGATTTTGATTTGCATTTCCCTGATCATTAGATATGTTGAGGATTTTTTCTTTTTCTTTTTCTTTTTTTTGAGACAGAGTCTCATTCTCTTGCCCAGGCTGGAGTGCAGTGGTGTGATCTCGGCTCACTGCAACCTCCACCCCCCAGGTTCAAGTGATTCTCCTGCCTCAGCCCACTGAGTAGCTGGGATTACAGATGCTGCCACCATGCCTGGCTAATTCTTGTATTTTTGGTAGAGATGGGGTTTCACCGTGTTGGCCAGGCTGGTCTTGAACTCCTGACCTCAGGTGATCTACCCAACTCAGCCTCCCGAAGTGCTGGGATTACAGGCATGAGCCACCATGCCTGGCTGATGTTGAGCATTTTATTCACATGTTTGTTGGCCATTTGTATATCTTCTTTTGAGAATTGTCTATTCATGTCCTTAGCCTAGGAAAAGGCAACTTTTTGAATGAATCTGAAGGAAGTAAGGCAGCTGGCCATGTGGTATAGAGAAGTAGAAACATATTTTGCATGCTCTGGAATAGATAGGAGGCCAAGCGAGGCCTCTTGGAGTGCTTGAGCAATGAGGGGAGAAGAGAAGGAGATGCCGTCTCAGAGCCAATGAGGACCGAGATCATGTAAGATTTTTAGGTCTCTGTAAGGACTTTGGCCTTTACTCAGAATGAATGGGATAATTATGGGTTTTGATGGAGGTATGACTTGATTCTGTTTTAATTAGATCACATTTGTATGTCAGGATTCCTGGAAGTAAAATTCTGGGTCAAGGAATGTGTATCCCTTGCCTTGCTTCTCTTTGTGGCCCAAGATTATGGTAATATTATAATCATAACATTATGATAACATCATAATCTTGGGCCACCAAGAGAAGCAGGGCAAGGGGTACATATCCCTGTATTAGGGATCCCTAATACAGGGATTAGGTTCCTAGGGCTGCCAAAGAAAGTACTTCCTCTATTAGGTTCCAAAGGCTGCCAAAGAAAGTACCACAAACGCAGTGGCTTGAAACAATAGAAATTTATTGATCCACAGTCCTGGGGGCTAGAATACTGAAATCAAGTTGTTGACAGGGCCACACTTCTACTGCAGCCTGTAGGGGAGAGGGCTTCCTTGCCTCTTCTTGCTTCCTGATAGGGGTTTTCAAGCCTTGGTGTCCTTTGGCCTGCAACTGCATCACTTGCATCTCTGCCTCTGTCATCACAAGGTGTTGTCCCTGTGTGTCTCTGCCTTTATGTGGCCTTCTTCTTAAAATGATGCTAGTCATGTTGCTCACCTGAATCCAGTGCAACCTTGTCTTCACCTAAGTAATTATATCTGGAATGATCTATTTCCACATAAAATCATGTTCTGAGGTTTTAGGGATTAGAGACTTAATATGTCTTTTTTGGGGACACGGTTCAACTTGCAACACTGCCAGTTTGAGAATCACAGGTGTATTCCTTGGAAGAGAGCTGTTCCTAATTTTCTCAGGTCTTACAATAGTGCCTTATGCTAGTTAGCTTCCCCATTCCATTCACATGGAATCCACACATCCTCATTCCATGAGTGTGTGTGTGTGTGTATAACTTATTAACATAAATGGAATTATATTATGCATCTTTTTAAGCAACTTGTTTTATACACTTAACAGTATGCCTTGGAATTCCTTCCATGGATGTACATATAAATTGACTTGATCCCTTGTTACCATGACACAGTGATTTCATAATATTGAATTTAATTCCTATAATTTAAACATTTCCCTATAGGTAGACATTAAGGTTGTTTTCAATTGTCTTGGCTACTACAAATGTAATATTTGGTGAAGGAATTTCTTTGTGGGAAGAGGCTATTTTTGTTAAAAAAGATGTTGCTGGATAGCCTCAAACTAGAGTCAGAATCAACTGTGCATAATAAATTTATGAGGGAGAAGAAGGAGGCTAGAGGCTGGATTCTCTGGGGGGTCAAAGTCAGATTAAGAGGGGAAGCTTAGAGGAAGCACTTTGAGGGCAACATGGCCAAGGGGGATCTTTTGAGTTAAATGATGCACACCGGGCTGGGCACGGTGGCTCATGCCTGTAATCTCAGCACTTTGGGAGGCTGAAATGGGAAGACTATTTGAGCTCAGGAGTTTGAGACCAACCTGGGCAACATAACAAGATCTCATCTCTACTAAAAATAATTTTTAAAAAATCAGCCCAGTCACGATGGCCCATGCCTGTAGTCCTAGCTCCTTGGGAGGCTAAGGCCAGAGGATTGCTTGAGCCCAGGAGTTCAAGGCTGCAGTGAAGCCATGATCATGCCACTGCACTCCAGCTTGGGTGACAGAGCAAGACCCTGTCTCAAAAAACAAACAAACAAACAAACAACAAAAAACAAAACAAACAAACAAAAAAAATGATGCACACTGAATGAATGTAAACTTAGTCTTCCTTCTCCCCTCTGAGATATGCTACCTTGCATATTGCAAACACTACCTTGCTTACTAATACTTTCAGTGAGAATATAATTACTTTTGGAACCTACAAAGAGAAGCTGAATTTTTGTGTTAATATGGGCGAGAAGTGAGTGATGCACATCTGGATTTCACGTAAGGATGTGAAAATGGACGTCCTTGGATGTATATTTTTGAGCTCGTGATAAAGTGAGCTAGGAAGGCTAGGTTCTTTTAAGTGGAACTAGTCCAAAGACAAGGGTCATTGTACTGCTGGTGCCACTGAAATTGGAACTTGGCTCCAGCTGCTGGAACCCCTGCCAGTCCTGAGAGATGAGACAGGTATTTAAGGGACAGGGGAGCCAGGTTAGGAACTGGATGAGGACCCCTGAGACGACCTCTTAGGAAGGACTTGTTGAATGTTGGCTCCCTAAAAAAGACCACCAAAACAACCTGTTGATAAGGCAAAGCTGGAGTCTTGATGGAGTCTTAGTAGACTCTGAGAGTGGAGAGGGTAAAGTCAGGGTCTTTATGGGGCTTTGAAGTCTAGGTTAAGGCGAGACTTCAGCATGGTGACTTTATTTGAATTGGATAAGGATTGTGATGCCATAGCTGGAGACTGGTGAACACAATGAAGCTGGGGTTTGGAACTAAGGGTTCCAAGCAGTCTTAAAGAGTAGCAGTCATTTGATGCTATCTGTTGAAAAATTCAGCACTTTTAAATGGGCTTGCAACATTTATCTTCTCGGACAAGAGTTTCTTGGAATAGTAAAGTCATGCTGATAAAGAGAATGGAATGTTAAAATCATGTTAATGAAGACAATAAGCTATGTGGGTGTAGATGGTTTCAGTTCTCAGACCTACTTTTTGAGATCTTCCCCTTTGGATTCTGAAGAAAGTCTCATTTAGAAAGAGGTTTAACCTCTCCCCAAGCAAATTCTAACTCAGCTTTAATATTATCTCTACCCTTGAGTAAAGGAATTACTTCACTTCATCTCACTGTGAAGAAGGAGTCTCATTTCTACAAGAGACTGAAGGGTGTTAATCTGATTGATCAGAAACCAGGACATATATTAAGCCACGTTGCAAGTGTGGGTGCATTTCATGTCAGAAACCAGACTACATTTTTTGGCCCTTTTTGTTTTGTCTTGTTTTTGCACATGGATGCAGCCAGGTCTCTCCTGCTCCCTTGCACTGAGCATAGCCTTGGAAGGACCTCTAAGAAAAGTGCAGCCACATTAGCAGGCTCAAATCCAGCCCTTTGTCCATGTGGCTGGCAGGCTCAATAGATTCCAATATGTTCTGCTGCCCAGCCATTTAGATTCAGAGGTGGGAAAAGAAAATTTCCCCTGCACTTTTAGGCACATGTCTCATGTCCCAGCATTACTTACCATGGAAGCTGTATGTTTGGGAGTGTTGGGGTTCCTGATGGATATACTCCATTCATTTCTCCAGAACACTCTCTACCCTTTTCCATCTGCTCTGTACATGGGGAAGCTGACCTGTATGGTCTATACCTATCTGCTCCCTTGCCCCTCTGTTCAGCTAATGTGAAATGCTGGCCAGAGATCAGAGGGAGGGAAGAGCGTGAGGTGAGGCTAGGGTGTTTTTTCCCCTAGACACCTCCTTCACAATCCTTGGTAGGCTAGCTGCATCTCTTTTTTTTTGAAATGGAGTCTCGCTCTGGCGCCAGGCTGGAGTGCAGTGGCACAGTCTCAGCTCACTGCAACCTCTGCCTCCCAGGTTCAAGCAATTATCCTGCCTCAGCTTCCCAAGTAGCTGGGACTACAGGTGTGCACCACCACACCTAGCTAATTTTTGCATTTTTAGTAGAGACGGGGTTCCCCCATGTTGGTCAGGATGGTCTGAATCTCTTGACCTCGTGATCCACCCACCTCAGCTTCCCAAAGTGCTAGGATTACAGGCGTGAGCCACAGCGCCTGGCTGGTTGGCTGCATCTCTTAACTAAATGTTACAGCTCCTGCCATGTGGTGCTCTCCATACAGGTCTTCACATCTTGAGGTTTTGGTAACAGGTCTCTTCTCTTGTCCCTGTGGGCCTTACGATGGAAACAGCTGCAACTAACCCTGAGATATCACTATCTTTTGTGATTTCCCTGTGCCTTGCCCCTTTTTTTATTAAATGCTACTAAAATTACCCAATTTGAGGGTGTCATCTCTTACTTCTTGGGCCCTGATCAATATAGGGCTTTGCTGAGTTGTTCATCATGCTGATGTTTTGTTTCCCATTTAATCATAGTTAGGTGATGCCTAATAAGTGCTTACTAAATATTTGTTGAATGAGTAAATGTCTAAATGAGTGAGTGGCAGGATTTGAACTCCAACTCCCCCTCTCCAAACTTCCAATGCAGAGTTTAGTGTTCACATGTAAAGTACAGATGCTTGATGTCCTCTGAGAGCAGTAAATGGGCATTGGGTCTGTGGCTCAAGTTTCTGGGACCTCCATTTTCCTGGGTTTGCCCTAGTTCCTTATGCCTAGGTGTCTTCTTTCCCAGAGGAGCAATATGCAATAATATGAAGAATATCAGAAATACACAGAAAAGGTAAAGACACAATATTCCCCACCAAACAAAGATTAGGGTGATTTCTTCCACTCAGGAAGAGATAAAGAGTTCAGACCACAAAATAAGAAACAAATATTGAAAAATTTCATTTGTACAGTTTATGGTTTTAAAGAAACCATCCTGAATAAGCTCAAGTTATAGCTACCAGTTATGAATTTATAAAGTTTATGTGACCTTTATTATAATTAATATTGTATTAATCATCACATATTATTATATATAAGATATAAATTTAATATAACTATCTGGTAATTATACCTATGTTTACTAACAATTTTACAACTGCTGGCTGCAGCGGTGCATGACATTCATTATTATTACATTTCCATTTTGCAAATGTTAGAGGAACTCCTTCCATTTGTCAGGTGTGACCCATGACTTGCATGTCTCTGGGGACACTCTGGGAAGATGTCTTCATAGATAAGAGCTCAGATAAACATGAGACAGAACAGTCCCAAAATCCCTCAGCATGCCCAGCCCTCAGGGAGTTCCTACTTGTTTATGAATCTGTCCATATTATAGCTCGTTGAGTAGAGAAATTCCAGGATCTTCCTGCATGGATTTCTGATCAGAAGAGTGGTCCAGAGTGAGCTGTCATAATACACTTCTTCTTGGCGCAGAGCTCCCCCTTTGATGATCTCCAGGGCACATTCCTCCTTTGGAGCTGCTTGCATATGGACTATCCCAGAAACTGCCTTCATGGCTGTTTCTATAGAATGACAAGGGAAGAGTAGGGTTATCTGACTAGGACAGTCTACATGATGGAAGGCCTGGAGACATCAACCACTTAGCTGTCAGGGGCTTTTGGCAGTGTTTGCTCTGCAAGCCTCACAGGCACTATAGGGAATACATGGAGAGACTGGGTATGTTAGAGTCTGTTGGGCAAAGAGAGGCCTTAGTGTTAATAGGGGCCTTGCCTTCCTGGATGGAGATTGGTGGGAGCAGTTAGAGGTGATTACTTGGGAGATCTGAATCATGCTTCTCTCTTGGGTATTTTGGTTGGAGGCGGAGAAGTAATATGGGGGAGCAGAATGAGGATAGAAGTCTCATAATGACTCAGTAGCTAATGGGAAGTGCCAGTGGGAAAAACCAGAGTGCTGTATGATAATGACTTACTGTCTTGTAAAAGGAAGAGATACACAAGAATACAGGCTTTTGCTCCCTTGTCACCACTTTCACTTCTCTCCCCTTCCAAGTTTTCATGTCCATCTTGCACAACTTCTCTCTCTCTCTCCATTCCTTTCTTGTTTCCCCCTGGGTCTCGGTCTCTCTCTCTATTTCTCTAACTGTTGCTCAATTACTCTTCAAAGAGCATTTTCTTTTAATATCTGCCACATGTTTTAGATAAACTTGTATTTGGACTTAACAGAAAAGTTGTAAAAATTGTAGGCCGTACCCCCTTATATTCCACACCTGCTCCCCCTGGTTGCAACACCATATATAACCATTGTGCAATGATTTAGGACAGGTATAATAATAGAATTGATACAATATATTAACTAAACTACAGACCTTATTTTTTCACTAATGTTCTTTTTATGTTCCTGGATCTTATCCAGGATTCCACTTAGTAGTAATTTCTTCCCATTTTTCTTCCAATCTGTGACAGTTCTTCAGCCTTTCCTTGTCTCTGATGGCCTTGACACTTTTGAAGAATACTGACCAAATGTTTTATAAAATGTTCCTTGATTTGGTTTTGTTCATTGTTCTCTTATGATTGGAGTGGGGTCATGTATTTTGGCAAGAACACCACCAAAATGATGTTGTGTTCTTCTCAGAACATCACATCAAAGAGTTCATGATACCAGTGTGTCTTATTACTGGTGCTGCTTTTAAGAAACACAAACTTGTATTTTGATAAGTCTCATATAGAAACGTAATGGCCATTGAGTGTCCATGAGGACATAAGGTGTTCAGCAAAGGGTTAAGTGATGAATGTGGTGAGACTCAGCCACCTTGGTAATCAAAATGGAAAGGAGAGTCAAAGAGTAGCCAGAGCCTCCACTAGTGACAGAAATGCCTTTAAATGAGAGAGCTAGTGCTTTCTGCACTGGTTTGTTTTTAGTGCATTACACATGAGGTCAGGGAGTTCAGCACCCTTGTTTATCCACAATGGTAAGGCAGACAGTTCATCTGCAGGTCATTATTCAGAGTATTAAAAAACCAAACATCGCATGTTCTCACTCATAGGTGGGAATTGAACAATGAGAACACTTGGACACAGGAAGGGGGACATCACACACTGGGCCTGTTGGGTGGGGGGAAGGGGGAGGGATAGCATTAGGAGATATACCTAATGTAAGTGACGAGTTAATGGGTGCAGCACACCAACATGGCACATGCATACATATGTAACAAACCTGCATGTTCTGCACATGTACCCTAGAACTTAAAGTATAATAATTAAAAAAAAACACAAAGTATTGACCTTACCTGTGTCTATGAGGCCAAGAACACAGAGAGTGATTGATACATTGACCCTGGACACTGAATATTCCTTTCTGATGGAGGAGAAGAACCCATCCAAAGCAAACTTGCTTGCAGAATAGGCAGCAACCATTGGATAAGCCACTTTCCCTAAATGACAGATTAAAGAAATGGGTTAATAAGGCTGCCCATTTCACCTTCTTACAGAGCTGTAGTAGGCTTTGTAACTCCTATGGTGTCCTTTTACCCCTTTGAGTCTTAGTTTCTCTATATTCCCCATGGAAGTTATACTGCTGTGTTGAATTTTGAAAACATTAAGGTATCGAAGGCATAGGGTGGGATTGGGCTGCAGGACAGCCTTCATTGAAGAGGGACTGTTTAAGCTTTTAGTAAGGGTGATAAACAAGCTGGGCTACAAAAGAGCCATGTAATTCCACAGCTGCTAACTCTTGCATCTCTGAACCAAGTGCTGGGGATCCAAGAGTTTGACTAGTTATCTCTGCCAACTTGGTGACCTGTTGGCAATGGAAAGGGTATGTTTTACTTTCCTTACAAAGGTATTAAAAAACTGCCTGTCCTGGCCAGGTGTGGTGGCTCACACCTATAATCTCAGCACTTTGGGAGGCCGAGGTGGGCAGATCACTTGAAGTCAGGAGTTCGAGACCAGCCTGACTAACATGATGAAACCCCATCTCTACTAAAAATACAAACATTAGCTGGGCACATGCCTGTAGTCCTAGCTACTCGGGAGGCTGAGGCAGGTGAATCGCTTGAATTTGGGAGGCGGAAGTTGCAGTGAGCTGAGATCGCGCCACCGCACTGCAGCTTGGGTGACAGAGAGAGACTCCATCTCAAAAAAACAAAAAACAGAATCCTGTCTTTGCTTTTCTACCCAAAGCCGCTTTTTAAAAAAAATGTTCACCAGACTGGTTAATTCTCACTCAAGTTGTTTGGAGGATATGTGGACATATGCCTAATAGGATAAACTATTATTAATACCCTTTTTAGGAGGGGAGAGTAGAAGTGACCTGAGACCCTATAGTCTTTACCGAGCATTGTTATAGCAACTACTTTAAAATCCATTGTCTGCTAATTCCAGAATTTGGGTAATTTTAAGATTGATCTTTATTGATTTCCTTTCCTCCTAAGTATGGGTCATATTTACTATTCTTGTATGGGTGTTAATTTTGTATTGTATCCTGGATATCGTGAATGATACATTGCAGGGTACCTGGATTCTGTCACATTCCTCCAAAGAGTGTTGATTTTTTTTTTTAAGTGGCCAGTTAACTTGGGTGAAACTCTGTCTCTTGTAATAAGTATCAGCTGCAATCTCTGTTCAATTATTTGAATCTTAACTTGGCTGCTTGGTTTCTGCATTGCCCATGCATTGTTCAGAGAACAACTAGAGATTTGGACAGAGCTTATGTATAGGATTCAGTGTTTCTCCACTGTGACTCTCCTTTCCAGCATAACCCCTTTGCATTCCAGCTATTACGGTAACCCCAACCTCTTCCTTCTAGCTATTCATGTTGGCAAGATGGCAGGTTTCTATCCCAGATATGGCACTGATTGGGGTTGCCCTTAGGCCTAAAGCTATACAATTGAGAAACTCGCCTACTGTCATTTCCTTCTTCCAAGTGTCAATAACCCTCCATTTTCTATCTGCTCTTGGTTAATCTCCAGTGCTTTCAATGGTTGTCGTCGATATTTTGTCAAAAGCTTATAGTTGTAATCTGGGGAAGGATGGTCTTTCGGGTGCCACTCTTGCAGTTATCGGAATTGGAATTTCTATATGTTTCAAATATAATATGTTGTATGTCAAACCAATGAAGAAAGGATGGGTTATTTAATAAAGATGCTGAGAAAGGTGGTTAACTTATTGGAAAAAATTAACTCTTTGTTTTATGTCATATAGCAAAAAATATTCTAGATGGAAAATGATAGTAAATAGTGTTATCTACCCAATATCCATTCCTCCTTCTTTAATAATAGAGTCTGATTTTGTTCAGGACAGCAACGTAATCATTTTAAAATGCTCATCTCCCTGAGATTTTCTTGCCGTAATAGGCCATGCAACGTAATAGTTCTGGTCAATGAGAAATCTAACAGATGAGGTTTCTAGGAAAGATATTGATTTCCAATAAATTAGATGGATTCAGGTGGCATGCAACTTTTACATTTTGCCCTTCTCCTTTCCTCCTAAGGAACCTCAGATATGATGGCTAGAATTGTAGCAGTCAGTTTGTGAACTTTAGGAAAAGCTAATGTTAATTATAGTGGAACAGAAATGTGGAATGACCTTGGATTCTTGAAGACGTCATGTAAGTCCACCAAAAGCAGCCCTAAACTATTACCTGAGAAGAAGGAATCTCTCTTTGTTAAGTTGCAGTGAGGTTTTTGACTTCTTTCTTTTCAACTGGGATACCCTTTATTTCTTTCTCTTGTCTAATTGCTCTGGCTAGAACTTCCAGTACTACGTTGAATAAAAGTGGTGGAAGTTGGCATCATTGTCTTGGTCCAAATCTTGGTGGAAAGGCTTTCAATTTTGTCCAGTTCAGTAAGATATTAGCTATAGGTTTGTCATGTATGGCCTTTATGATGTTGAGGTATATCCCTTCTATACCCAATTTGTTGAGGGTTTTTATTATGAAGGGATATTGCATTTTACCAAATGCTTTTTCATCATCTACTGAAATGATTATATATTTTTGCCTTTGATTCTGTTGATGTGATGTATCACATTTATTGATTTGCTTATGTTGAACCATCCTTGCATCTTGAAGATGAATCCTACTTGATCATAATGAATGATCCTTTAAAATGTTGTTGAGCTCTGTTTGCTAGTATTTTGTTGAGGATTTTTGCATCTGTGTTCATCAGGGATATTGGCCTGTGGTTTTCTCTTTTTTGTTGTATCTTTAGTTTTGGTTTCAATGTTGGGACACATCCTTAAAAGGAGAAGCCAGTCTCTCCTTCCCAATCCTTTGTCCTTCTTGGTGTCTGAAGGTGGATGTAATGGCTATGGCTCCAGACCTATCTTGGACCATGAGGTAGAAGCCACGTGTTGAGGATGGCAAAACATTTAGATAGTTTAGATAGAAGGAAGGAACCTGGGTGACCATGGAGCTGCCATACTATACTGGCCCTATACTGCCTACCTTCAGACCTGATTTAAATTTTAACTTACTTGTGTGTGTGTGTGTGTGTGTGTGTGTGTGTTTTCCGAGGCAGAGTCTTGCTCTGTTGCCCAGGCTGGAGTGCAATGGCATGATCTCGGCTCACTGCAACTTTTGCCTCCCAAGTTCTAGTGATTCTTCTGCCTCAACCTCCCGAGTAGCTGGGATTACAGGTTTGAGCTACCAAACCTGGCTAATTTTTGTATTTTTAGTAGAAACAGGGTTTCACCATGTTGGCCAGGCTGGTCTTGAACTCCTGATCTCAAGTGATCCACCTGCCTCGGCCTCCCAAAGTATTGGGATTACAGGCATGAGCCACTATGCCTGGCCTAAATGCTAACTTATTGAATCCACTATTATTTTAGGTTTTCTGTATCTGAGAGCTGGACTTACTTCTTATTGATAGTTATCCTCACTTCTATGCAGCCCATGTGCCAAAAGAAAGCTGACATCATTCCTAACTGCAGGTATGAGCTTATGTAATCTATTTTATCCCATTCTTCTTACTCATGATTGATACAGGAATGGCCATGTGGCTCATTTTGGACCAATGAGATTTGAAGAAAATTTTGTTGGAGTGTCTCAAAAAGTTATTGTTTTTCTGGAAGAGTTTCTGAGAGTAGCAATCCTCTTTTTCTTCCAACACATTTTTTGTGCATTGATATGGGGGCTGGAATTGCTGCAGCTATCTCATTGTCAGCCTGAGGATGAAGCCACACATGGAAGAGAGCAGAGCCAAGAGAATCACGGGGACACTGAGCTTCAGCCAAGTCAACTGTGAAGCCTGCCCTACATCTGGACTTCCAGTTATGTCAATAATTTTCCTTATTGTTTGAGACAAAAATAGATCCACATTACTTATCAGAATAGCATAATAATTAAAAGTATGAGCTCTAGAGTCAGATGACCCAGGTGTGAATCCCAAGTATGCCAATTCTTAGCTGTAATATGTGGATAATAATATAACCAAGCTGAAGTAACCCATGTAATATACTTAGCACAAACTCTGGCACATAGAAAGCATTCAGAAAATGCTATTATTGTTAGCAGTATTAGTATTCAAATTGGTGAGAAAAGTATGAGCTATTCAAAAAATCATGTTGGGACAAATAGCTAGTTACTTGGAGAAAAAAGTGCCATTCTAATAAACAAATTCAAATTAGATCACAGAGTATATGTGGAAAGTAAAAAACTAAAATAAGCTATTGGTGAATTTCTAATCTCAAAGTTAGAGATACTTTTTAAAGCATGAAATTGGAGGCATATACTATGAAGGAAGACATAAATAGGTTGGAATATATAAAATGTGAAAAGCTACAGTGTACTAGAAATGCTTGCCATGGACTTCCTGCCCTCATCCCCTTCAAAGAGCCTTTATCTTTCTAGCCATGGAAGGTTGGCCCAGTTATCACGAATATGCACACTGGCTTGAACACACATCGTGGTCTCTCTTTCAATAAATTGAAATAAGTGACCAAAAGATTCTGATTGCTGCTGTTGGATTTTGAATGAAAAGGTCATGTAAGGTTGGGACTGGGGTAGCCATTTCAGCCATGGAGAGGGATAAGTAAGCGGAGACAAGTATTCTGCAAAAATAAGCAAGCATATGGAGCAAACACAATAACCTCTGAAATTGAGCTAAATAGGAACTAACATTTATTTAGCTCTTATGTGCCAGTGTAGAATCTAAAGGATAAATGCTCAAAGTTTCAAGGTTAATGAGTGGGAGAAGCAGGATTCAAACCAGGATTCAAATTTGACTCTAGTGGCCCACACTCTTGAACACTAGGTGGTACTTCCTCTACAGAAGGCACTGTTCTTTATATGAGTGTTTTCCAGGAGCCATGTGTTAAATCCAGTTCTTTCTGCATTGGTGAGGATTCTCTCTCTTTTGATAGTCGAGTCCAAAATAGGCAAAATTTATGAATAGCAGTATTATTTTCACTTCTAAGCTGACAGATGAGGATACCCATAAATAAACAGGGCTAGTCACTCCTAGTCCCTTTGTATTCATTTCCCTGGGCTGCCATAACAAATTACCACAAACTTGGTAGCGTAAGACTACAGAAATGTGTTCTCTTACAGAACTGGAATCCAGAAGTCCAAAACCAAGTTATCAGCACAGCCATGCTCCCCCCAAAACCTATAGCAGGGAATCCTTCTTTTTTCTCTTCTAGCTTCTAATGTCTGCTGGCAGTTGGAGCTGAGTTGTGCTGGCAACTCCAGTCTCTGCCTCCATCTTCACATCACTTTCTTCTCTTCTGTCTGTGTCTTTTACTCTTCATATAAGGTTACTTGTCATTGGATTCAGGGCCTCTCAGATAATCGGGAATGATTTCATCTTGAGATCTTAGTTACATCCTCAAGGACTTTCTATGTGTCCACTTAAGGTCACGTTCACAGGATCTAGGTGGATATATCTTTTGGGGGAGGACCACCATTCAGCCCACTACACACCCCTAGATGACAATAAAGATATTGACTATGACATTTAATGTGTTTGTCTAGGTGGCAACAGAGATACAGAAGCAAGATATCCTGCGAAGCCATAGTCTGAATTCCTAGAGCAGTTATTTTTATACCACTTATGGAGCTCATGCATCACATTGCCTATCCTTAGTTATGCCTCAGGTTATGCTCAAGGTACATAGAAGAATCCTAAATGGTTTTGTAGGAGAAGGAGGTAAGAGAAGAGAGAAAGTGAAAGCAGAAGAAAGGAGAGAAGTAGTGAAGGAGCCAGACATGTCAGAAGACCACCTGAAAAATTCATGACATGGATGCTTGTATGGTTTAAAAAAGTTTTTTTTTTGTTGTTGTTAGAAACAGGGTCTCACTCTGTCACCCACGCAGGCTGAAGTGCTAAAGCACAGTGTTGAGATCATAGCTCATCCTCCCACCCCAGCCTCCTGAGTTGCTGGGATTACAGATGCATGCCACTGTGCTTGGCTAATTTATTTTTAATTTTTTGTAGAGACAACGTCTTACTATGTTGCACAGGCTGGCCTAAAATCCCTGGCATCAAGTGATCCTCCTGCCTTGGCCTCCCAAAATACTGGGATTATAGGCATGAGCCACTGTGCCAAGCCTAAAAAATATTTTTGGTTTTTTTTTTTTTTTTTTTTTTTTTTTTACGGAGTCTCATTCTGTTGCCAGGTTGGAGTGCAGTGGCGCGATCTTGGCTCACTGCAACCTACGCCTCCCGGGTTCAAGTGATTCTCCTGCCTCAGCCTCCTGAGTAGCTGGGACTACAGGCATGTGCCACTATGCCTGGCTAATTTTTGTGTTTTTAGTAGAGATGGGGCTTTACTGTGTTGGCCAGGATGGTCTTGATCTCTTGACCTCGTGATCCGCCTGCTTTTAATTGGTGAAAAAAATGAACTATTATGCAAGCATATAAGGTTGGACAAAGACTACTGAAAAACGATTAGCCTTTATTGTGAAGACTATGCATGAGGTGCACTGTAACATAATAACATATGGCTACAGCTGTTGTTGACATCTCTCAGATTTTGTGACCTGCTATTGATCTGTAAATGTTTAAGCCAGTACTCAAATTCAATGCACGTAAGGACCATGTGCAAATAAGGACCATTAACCTGCAGATTTGAGCTCTGCCCCCCATTCTTCTAGTCTGTTTATGGAGTAGAGGACTGTGCTAAACTGTTCAGTAGGAAAGAGTGGCTTTATCCATAAATGATATTCATAGTGGGTTTTGAGAATGAGTGTGGGGTAGGAAAGGCATGGTGGCCTAAGCTTGTTGAACATCATCTAGGAACTCCTGAAAGAAATGGGGAGAGGTCTTTGGAAGAGGCTAAAGTCCCACAATGACAGCTGGGTGAGCAGTCACTGAATTATGAATTAAGTCTCTTTAAAACCCAAACTGGCATGACTAAGGAAAACATGTATTTCAAATCCAAACTGGATGTTTAGGTAAAGAATGATATTGGACTATCAGGAAACTCCACCTGGAGGAGGTAGGTTGTAAATTCTGCTTGATGAAAGGAAGTACATGAAGGACCAGGGAGGTGGAAGAATGGCTTGTACAAAAATTAGAGGCAGGAGTTAGATAGGCAGTGAGAAGCTAGTCAGACAAGGAAAATAATAGCAAAGTTTATTGTATTTTTTCTTTTACAAAAGTACAGACTTAAAAACACTTATCCAAAACTCTTAGAGCCAGATGTATTATGGAATTTTAATTTGTTTTTGGATTTTTGATGGTGGTATGGGCATTAATAGGTATTACATCGCATCTCCAGTAGGGTTGGAGGAGGCAGCCTGTAAGACAGCATGTATTATTTCTGCACTAAAATATTGGAAAGTTCATACTGAGATAAAGAAAGGATTTAAGTAGCCTCACTTCAGTTCAGGTTAAATTCATTAGGTAGATTTAATTATGAAAAGAAAATCCTTAGTTTTTGGAGTTTTATTATTGTTTCCATTTTTTTCCCATAGCTTTTTGGATTTTGGAATTGCAGATAAGGATTGTGAACCAGTCTAGGCCCACTAAAGGAAAGCTGGAACATATATTAAAAATTAAAAAGCAGAAAAAAAATGAAGAGAAGAGAGAAAAATCTTCCATTCTCAAACAACATTGGTGCATTTAATTAAAGCCTATTTCTATTCACAAGTGTGTTCTTAAACATTTTTCCACATAATGCTAATTAGCTTGTGTGAGGAAACCCCTATGTTCTGCTCTATGTAAACCATATTTAGAAGTTTCAGAAAGCTGAAAAGGGCAAAATCCCTCTAAAAATCTAGATTTTTATTTTTTAAAAAAGATTCCATGAGTCAAAAGGCCTGGTCAAAGTGGAGTAAACAACATGTAACAGGATGTTAAAATTTGACTTTTTCTGCTTTCATTTCAGCTGAGGTTCAAAGGCTGAGAACATCACAGTAATTGGCAAAGGCTTCCACGTTCTGAAGGGAGGTTCCAGACCACCTGTGCACTTACAGGGAACATGGAAACACAAACAAACATCCCAAGGAAATAAAGGGGCTGACACTGGGAGGCCAGAGAAGATAGGAGTTAGGGAGAAGAAATTAGCAATGTCTCATTGATCTTCCAAAAAGAAGGGGTGGGGGATTTTCCTCACGTCAGTCTTTGTGAGAGTGACTTCAAAGAGACCTCAGAGAGCTCGTCCCAAAGAGTTTGATGAGCAACAAGGAGGACTGGGGTCTGACTCAATCTGAGAGGCCATGGCTATGGGCAAAGCCATTGCATAGCCCAAATTGTGTCACACCTATGGAAACTCTCCCTTGTAGGTGGACCTGAAATCCAGCCCACACTCTGCTCACCACCCTGTGGGCCTTGTCCCAGGACTCATCCCTTCTCTTCTGGAGCCATTTCCAATTCTGCCCAAAAGGACAGCCTGAAGTGGTGAGTGTATTCTCTTGTATTCCCACTGTATTCCCAGGGCCCAAAGGAAATAACATAAGCAACTGCTGCCCAAACCACAAGAAGAATAACTAGTATTCCAGAAAGGGCCTCCAAAGAATCCACAAAAGCATGCAATGCAAGAGTCAGATTTGATCATCCACCAAATGGTCAGAGAGCATGAGTTCTGAATGTCAAGAGAAGACCAATATATTAGCTGGGTGCCAGCCAAATAAGACCTTTCCTACTCCTTATCCTCTTCCCTGCATTGTCCCTTTTCCTTTAACCCAAGACAGGCTAGAGGGGGTCAGGGAGTGGGGAGGAGGTGGGGAAAGAGAGGAAAGAACAAACACATTTCCTACCAACAGCAGGTTCCAGCTTAGCAAGGGGAGAAGCTTTGGTAAAAGTTAAATTGCACATGACTAGACATCTTACCTATTTGGAAATGAGACTGTTCTGTGGACTAGAGGCAGCCATAGGATTTTTTATTAACCTGGAGTAACCAGAAAAGTGTTGCCATCTGCCCTAGCTCATGTCCAGGCTCAGGGAGGACCTGCGCACAGAACAGGTTTGAACAGGCAGGGGGAGGAAAGAATCAACTTGTTTTCTGATTGCACCCTATGAGATCCACTTGTTAGACTGCCAGTTTTTTTTAAAAAATGTGCCAGTGTATGTGCTCAACAAAATTAGTAAGTAAATAAATATACTGTTCTAATATGCATGAAGCAGTCGTGGAATTGAGGGGGTCGGAAGCCTGAGTGTTTCTACCCAAGGTTAAGTTTTGGCTTATGTGGGAGGGTGGGTCCATGATAGCAGAAGAGAAAGATGGCAGCTAGCTTTCTGGGAAGTTTTAGAACACAAAGAAACAGAGCTATGGTGACTATATTTTCTGAAGCAAAATATGGGACACAGAGTCTTAGAAGGATGAAGGCAGACATGATGATAGGTGGGACAGAATGTTTGTAATTAGCTCTGTCCCAGAAATGCGGGGACTCAGCCACTGTAGAAACAGCAAGAGCCAGAGAACTGGCAAAGAAGCCATGCACTGAGGCTTATTAGCTGAGTAGAAGAGGTCAAAAGGAGGCCTACATGCTTTCGTTCATCCCCTCTCTACCCTCCATCCCTAACTGCCTTGCTGAGATTTTGAAATGATTACCAATTCAAAGATGGATTTTAGACTGCTTTAATTGATTGCTCAGAGGGGAGTGCACAAGGATTGAAAAACTTCATTCCTGCCTGCCTTCACACTTTTAGAGCAACCCCAGGCAAATGAATGAGCCCAAATTTGAGGTGCATCAGGCCTAAATGGCTTCAAGGCCAGAGAGTCATCTGGGATCCTGCCCCCCATTTTTCCCAGCTCTTCCTAAAAATCCTTCCTCAGTTGAGACCCTCATGGTCTAAACTCTTTAGTTGTTTGGATTGAGTTGGGCTCTCAAGATAAATCCACCTATCTTCTCCATACCCCAGAAGACCTGAGGTGTCATCATAAGTATTGAGACATCCCACAATCCAGTGATTCTTGAAGAAATGGAATGAATGGATTTATCCAGGGAAAGTGTGTTGAGTGAAAAGAGAAGAGGGTTCAGGATAGAAAAATCCTCAGGAAACCAACAATTAAGGTTGGAGAATTGCCAAGAAACCTAAGAGACTGAGAGGGGAGAGTTAAGGTGGCCAGAGAAAACCCAGGGCAAAGTTTTGGCTGATCACTAGGAAAGAGCGTTTGGTGTTGAAACAGCACAAAAATGTAACAGAGATAAATAAGATAAAACTTTTACTAAATTTCACAAGGTGACTTTGGCAAGAATATTTCTATGCAGGTATGGGGCCTGTTGACAGGATATGAAATGGAGTTCTTCCTAAAGTCTCAGAGTATCAGCACATCTTCTAAGGCAAGAATAAAAGAATAGATTTGAAGAACATCCACAGTTGAAGGGTGGGCCCAAACCGGTTCTGCCTGCATTGCCTAATCACCCGTGCCTAGCCTAAATCACCCTTGGATAAGAGATAGTTCTCAATGTCCTGTGTCTATATCCACCGACGCTCAGGGCAGTTTCATCCCTTTCCACTTAAGCCATATGAGAGGGGCCTCAATAGCATTATTTGGAGAACTTTTAATATGTCCCCTGGAGTTCAGGGACTGGAATTTGACTCACATCTAAAGTCTAAAGGCAACAGGGAGGGCTGGAAGTGCCCTTGCTTGAGAACAAAGCTGAGTGCATTGTGGGATCAACCATGTAGTCCAAGGATTGGCTTCCCAGAGGCCCAGTGTGGATCCTGTGGATGGGGGCTGCCCAGGAGTCACCTGCCCAGGGATGGTTGGGTAGACTGGGCCAAGTGGGCTGGGCTGATTGAAGCCTAGGAACTGAGAAGAAAGCTGAACTGAAAATAATGAGCTAGAGAAGGCATTGCTCACACAAAGGGAACTGCAGGGGGAATGGGCGGCAGCAGTGGTGTCTCCTGCAGGGGATCTCTGAAGAACCCAGAAAAAGCCCCACAGAATTCACTTTCATATGTCCTCCAAGTCACTAGACTCCCAGGATGGGGATTTTTTTTTTTTTTTTTTGCTTTTGAAATAATTTCAAACTTAAAGAAAAGTTGCAAGAATAGTACACACAACCTATTTTTTTTTTCTGCTGAGCCATTTGAGGGTAATAGCTGTAATTGAGGTCATTGCTGACCTCATGTCCCATCTCCCCCAAATACTTAGTGTTCATTTCTTACACAGAGGGACACTGTCCTACATAATCACAATACAGTCATCAAAATGAGGGAATTTATTAGTTTCCTAGGGCTGTCATAACAAATTACCACAAACTGGGTGGCTTAAGACAACAGAAATTTATTCTCTCACAGTGCTGGAGTCAAGAAGTCTGAAATCAATGTGTTGGCAGGGCCGCATTCCCCCCAAAGACTCTGAGGGAGAGTGCTTCCTTGCCTCTTCCAGCTTCTAGTGGCTGCCGGCATTCCTTGTGGCTACATCACAATCTCTACTTTCCATCTTTACATGGCTTTTTCTTCTCTCTGTCTGTGTCTTCTCTTCCCCTGACTCTATAAGGACATTTGGCAGTGGATTAAGAGCCCACTTGGCTAATCCAGGATGATCTCATCACAAGATCCTTAACTTAACTACATCTGCAAGGACCCTTTGTCCAAATAAGGTTGCATTCACAGGTTCAGGCAGGTAGGATGTAGATATATCTTTTTTGGGGCCACTATTCAACCCAGTACAGTAATACTGACATATCCATGTTATCTAATCCACAGACCCTATTCAAATTTTGTCATGTGTGCCAATAATATCCTTTATAGCAAAAGGATCCAATTGAGGATCATGAGTTGGCATTTAGTTGTCATGACTCTTCAGTTGCCTTTGCTCTGCAATGATTCTGCAGTCTTTCCTTTATTTTCATGACCTTGGCACTGTTGGAGAGTACAGCCAGTTATTTTGTACAAGCTGATATGCCGAAGCTGGCTCATACTAGATTGTGAGAGCTGGTGGTTAAATGTTTATAAATTTTGCAAGCAAGAGAATGTCATGTGGATATGGTCATCATGGGAGTGTTGATTACATGGAAAGGCTACAAATCAGGGCTTTTGATTCTTCCTTTCTGGATAGCTTGTTGTTAAACATTTACCAGCGCGCTATTGATGGATGTCCCTCAGTTTGGATTTATCCGGTGTTTCCTCATGATTTGATTCAGGTTATGCATTTTGGCAGGTTCACAAAAGTAACTTTTGTTCTTCACGTTGCACCCCATCAAATGATACATGTTTTCAATTTATTCCATTACTGGTGATGTTAATAAACCATGATCATTTGAATCAGGTGCCGTCTATCAGGTTTCTCTTCTGTAAAATTACTCTTTTCCCTGTCATAATCAGTAAGTTTGTTTTTCGGGTGGTACTTAAAAAAAACTATCTTAACCATTTTTTAAATTATACTTTAAGTTCTGGGGTACGTGTGCATGACATGCAGGTTTGTTACATAGGTACACATGTGCCATGTTGGTTTGCTGCATCCATTAACTCATCATTTACATTAGGTATTTCTCCTGATGCTGTCCTTCCCCCAGCCAATCTAGAACTAGAAATACCATTTGACCCAGCAATCCCATTACTGGGTATATACCCAAAGGATTATAAATCATGCTATAAAGACACATGCACACATATGTTTATTGTGGCACTATTCACAATAGGAAAGACTTGGAACCAATTCAAATGTCCATCAATGATAGAGTGGATTAAGCAAATGTGGCACATATACACCATGGAATACTATGAAGCCATAAAAAAGGATGAGTTCATGTCCTTTGCAGGGACTTGGATGAAGCTGGAAACCATCATTCTCAGCAAACCATCACAAGGACTCAAACATTGCGCGTTCTCACTCATAAGTGGGAGTTGAACAATGAGAGTACATGGACACTGGGAGAGGAACATCACACGCCGGGGCCTATCTTAACCATTTTTAAGCGGACAGTTCGGGGGCATTCAGTACATTCATATTACTGTGCAACCATCACCACCATCCATCTCCAGAACTCTTTTCATGTAGCAAAACTAACTACACCCATTAAACAATAACTCCACATTCTCTCCTTTCCCAGCCCCTGGCAACCACCCTTCTACTTTCAACTTTGTATAACTTTCACCACTCTAAGAACTTCACGTAAGTGGAATCATACAGTTTCCTCCAATTGCAAACCAATACCAGAGGGTTCATTCTCTTTCTGTGGCTGGCTTATTTCCCTTTGCATGATGTCCTCAAGGTCCAGCCATGTTGTAGCATGTGTCAGAATTTCTTTCCTTTTAAAGATTGAATAATATTCCATTGTATATACGTACTACATTTTGCTTATCCATTCATCTACTGATAGACACTTGGGTTGCTAACAGTGAAACATACAGTGTTTTTGCTATTACAAATACTGTTCCTGTGAACATGGATATACAAGTAGCTCTTTGAGACCCTGCTTTCTTTTCTTTTCTTTCCTTTTTTTTTTTTTTTTTGAGATGGAGTCTCACTGTGTCACCCAGCCTGGAGTGCAGTGGCATGATCTTGGCTCACTGCAACCTCCGCCTCCCGGGTTCAAGTGATTCTCCTGTCTCAGCCTCCTGAGAAGCTGGGATTACAGGCACCTGCCACCATGCCCAGCTAATTTTTGTATTTTTAGTAGAGACAGGGTTTCACCATATTGGCCAGGCTGGTCTCAAACTCCTGACCTCAGGTAATCTGCCCACCTTGGGATTACAGGCATGAGCCACCACACCCGGCCTCCTGCTTTCAATTCTTCTGTGTATATACCCAGAAATAGAATGGCTGGATCACATGATAATTCTATTTTAAATTTTCTGAGGTACTGCCATACTGTTTTTCATAGTGACTGTACCATTTTACATTCCCATCAACAGTACACAGCATTCCAATTTCCCCACATTCTCACCAATACTTGCTATTTCTGTTTTTTGGGGGTGTGGGGGATAGTAGCCATCCTAGTGCTGTGAGGTGGTATCTCATTGTAGTTTCAATTTGCATTTCCCTAATGATTAATGATGTTTAGCATCTCTTCATGTGCTCACTGGCCACTTGTTTGTCTTCTTTGGTAAAATGTTTATTCAAGTCCTTTGCCCATTAAATTTTTTTAAAAATTTAAGTTGATACGTAATATTTGTATATAGTTATGGGTAGTATGTGATATTCTGTTACATCCATAGAATATGTAATGATCAAGTAAGGGTATTTAGGATATCCATCATCACAAGCATTTATTATTTCTGTGTTGAGAACATTTCAAGTCCTCACTTATTTTGAAATGTACAATACATAGTTACTAACTATAGTCACTCTACTATCGAACATTAGAAATTATTCCTTCTAACTGCATATTTGTAATCAGTAGCCAACCCCTCTTCACCCTCCTGCCAACACGCTGACATTCTTCCCAGTCTCTGTAAACTATCATTCTACTCTCTACCTTCATGAGATAAACCTTTTTAGTTCCCTCATATGAGTGAGTACATGCAGTGTTTGTTTTTCTGTGTCTGACTTATTTCATTTAGCATAATGACTTTCAGTTCCATCCACATTACTGCAAATGACTGGAGTTGCATATATCTCTTTGATATATTGATTTCCTTTTTTTTTTTTTTTTTTTTTTGAGATGGAGTCTAACCCTGTCTCCCAGGCTGGAGTGCAGTGGTGCTATCTTGGCTCACTGCAACCTCTGCCTCCTGGGTTCAAGTGATTCTCCTGTCTCAGCCTCCCAAGTAGCTATAATCCCAAGTAGCTGGGATTACAGGCATAGGCCACCAAGCCTGGCTAATTTTTGTATTTTTAGTAGAGGTGGGGTTTCACCATGTTGGCCAGGCTGGTCTTTAACTCCTGACCTCAAGTGATCTGTCCACCTTGGCCTCCCAAAGTGCTGGGATTAGAGGCATGATCCATTTCACCTGGCCAATTTTCTTTCTCTTTGATAAATACCCAATAACAGGATTGCTGGATCATATGATAGTTCTATTTTTAGTTTTTTGAGAAATCTCCAAACTATTTTCTATAGTGACTGTAATAATTTACATTCCCACTAACAGTATATAAGAGTTCCCTTTTCTCTGCATCCACAATAGTATCTGCTATGTTTTGTCTTTCTGATAATAGCAATTTGATAAGATGATATCTCATAGTAGTTTTAATTTGCATTTTCTTAATGATTAGTGATGCTGAGCATTTTTCATATACTTGTTAACCATTTATATGTTCTATGTCTTTTTTTGAGAGATGTCTGTTCAGGTCTTTTGCCCATTTTTAAAATCAGATAGTTTTTTTTCCTATTGAGTTATTTGAGTACCTTGTATATTCTGGATATTAGTCCTTGTCGCATGAATATTTTGCAAATATTTTCTCCCGTTAAACAGGTGGTCTTTTCACTCTGTTGATTGTTTCCTTTTCTATGCTGAAGGTTTTTAGTTTAATATAGTCCTCTTTGTCTATTTTTGTTTTTGCCTGTGCTTTTGGGGTCTTAGTCATAAAATATTTGCCTAGACCAATGTCATGGAATGTTCTCCCTACATTTTCTTCTGGTTTCATAGTTTCAGGTCTTACATTTAAGTCTTTAATCTGTTGGGCATCAATTTTTGTATATGGTGAGAGATAGAGATCTAGTTTCATTCTTCTGCATATGAATATTCAGTTTTTCCAGCACCATTTATTGAAGAGACTGTCCTTTCCCCAATGCATGTTCTTGGTGCCTTTGTTGAAAATCACTTGGCTGTGAATACATCGGTTTATTTCTGGGTTCTCTATTCTTGTCCATTGTTTTGTCTATTTTCCTACCAATACCATGCTGTTTTGGTTACTATAGCCTTTAATATATTTTCAAGTCAGGTAATGTATTACTTGCAGTTTTGTTCTTTTTGCTTAGGATTGCTTTGGCTATTTCGTCCCTACAAATTTTAGGTTTTTTTTTTCTATTTCTATGAAAAATGTCATTGGTATTTTGATAGGAATTGCACTGAATCTATAGATTGCTCTTGGTATTATGGTCATGTTAACAACATTAATTATTCTAATCCATGAGCATGGGATATATTTCCATTTGTTTGTGTCCTTTTCCATTTCTTTAATGGGTGTTTTATAGTTTTTCCTGTAGAGGTCTTTCACCTCCTCGGTTAAATTTATTCCTAGGTGGTTTTTTTTTTTCTGTAGCTATTGTAAATGGTTTTTCTTTTTTTCAGATTGATCGCTGTTAGCATATGGGGACACTGTTGATTTTTGTATGTTGATTTTGTATACTGCAACTTTACTGAACTTGTTTATCAGTTATAAGAGTTTTTTTGTGGAGCGTTTAGGCTTTTCTGATTATAAAATCATGTCATGTGAATGAGTGAAAATTTGACTTCCTGTTTTCTAGTTTGGATGTCTTTTATTTCTTTCTCTTGCCTGATTGCCCTGGCTAGGACTTCTCGTACTGTGTTGAATAAGAGTGGTGAAAGTGGGCATCCTTGTTTAGTTCCAATTATTAGAGGAAAGGTTTCCAGTTTTTCCCCATTCAGTATGATGTTAGCTGTGGGTCTGTCATATATCCTTTGCCCATTTTTGAATCAGGTCATTTGTGGTGTTTTTGGTTGTTGTTGCACAGGGTAGTACTTTGAGACTATGTAAATACCGTCTTCCTTGTTTAACTTTTACCCACTACTTTTAGCATCCTTTGTTGCTTCCTGGCTGAATTATTACAATTATGGTTACCAAATGGTGATTTTCTAAGTTCATCATTTCATATCAGTTGGCTTTCCACTTCATGAAAAATCCTTCCCCTCTCTTGATTTATTTATTCATGCATTTATTTATGACTTCATGGACTTATTTCCTATTGTTGCAATGGGTGATAATCTGTTACTACTATTTGTTTTGATGCCTCAATGGTTCTAGGTTTGGCTAGTGGGATCCCTTTAAAGTTGGCCTCTGTGTCCTGGTAATGTGTGCCTATTATCCTTTGAGCAGTTCTGTACTTACTGGCAGAACAAGATTTTCAGGCTTATCTTGTACCTTTCTTGCCACTGCCCTGGAATCAGTCATTTCTCTAAGAAGCCTTGGTGGTTTGTTGTTGTTGTTTTTTTTTTTAGTGGAGAATGATATTTAGAAAACAAGATCTGGGCACCAAGTGTGCTCCCAGGTCCTGTCAGTGGACAGAGTGAGTGAATACATGCATGTATATGTAGACACACATCTATATTTATATATCTGTCCTTGTGTATTAAACAACTATTAATTCATACCCACACTTCCAATTGCAATCCAACACTAGAGGATTCATTCTCATTTTCTTCCTTTTCATATTTGTAACATTGATAGTGAGAACCTGGGGCTTCCAAGATCTGCAATATGTATTACTTATGTGATTAATGCTCCTGTATGTGATCATTCTTCATTTGGCCTCTTCATCCCACCTAGGTTCTGACACCCCAGTGCCAGGCTACATGAATGCCTGGTGAATGCCTTCTTTACCCTATGTCGGGCTGCCCATGGCAGGCCCTCTTGCAGATGCTCTCATCACTCCCCTTAGTTCTGATGCCCTGTGCCAGGTGCCACATGAAGAGCCTCCTTGGCCCACTTAGGCTCTGAAACTTCACACTAGGCCACCACTGCTGCCCCATGTGAGGATGCCATCCTCATCTCACTCAGTCTCTGATGTCCCAAACCTGCTCTGTGACACAAACCTGTCCCATCCTGCTCAAGTTTTTCAATCTGTGCTGCCACCTTCCTCCCCGGTGAAGATGCCTATCTTGCTTGGCCTCTATGAGTGGCTTTTAGATTGAATTATTCAGAGCCAAGGATGCTAAAAAATGCTCGACAATGCATCAGACAGTCCCACACAATGAAGAATTGTCCCTCACCAAAGGCCAATAGTATCCTTATTAAGAAGCCCTGACACGAAGGCCTAGAAACAGAAAGGAAATATGGAGGGAAAATATGACTGTGAGTCTCCAACACAGTTTAAGGAAAGACATGAAGCCAGAAATCCAGGTACTAGCAAGCTATTTTATCATTTGTTCATTCAAGAAGAATGTGTTGATTATTTGCAAAATTTGTTAGCTCCAGGGAATCAGAGATGAATGAACAATGTGCCTGCCTTTAAGGAGAGCACAGCCTAATCACTGTGAGTAAAATGCTGTATTTCAACAGCTTTCAGAGGCAAGCAGTTGTAAAACATACTACTATTTTGTATACCAAGAAATAAAAACCCTTCCAATAGATCTGTAACATGATTTTTATCCCTTAGAGTGTTTGTTTTATGTTTGTTGCTACTTAGGTTGTTTCTAGTTTTTGTTTGTTTGTTTGTTTTTACAACTATAAACAATACAGTAACAACTTGGCTTACACTAGAATGTGGGTGCACAACAGGTATCTTGCCTTGGCCTTCTTGCTCCCTGCCATAGCCTTGGCATCTGGCATAGTGCCTGACTCAGAGTTGACCTTCATGCATATTTTTTGAATGAATGAATGAATGAGTATATTTGGGAAGCACTTGTTCAAGTTTGTTTATAGAATAAACTTCTCAGACATGAAGTTATGCTCTCTCTCCCTGACCATTCCTCTTGAAGTACTTAAGCAAATTTCTACTTATGGAAATCAATATAGGCAGCCCTCTGTATCCATGGATTTTGCGTCTTTGGATTTAAGCAACCATGGGTTAAAAATATTCAGGAAATAATTTTGTGTCTGTATTGAACACATACACACTTTTAAAATCTTGTCATTATTCCTTAAATAATACAATATAACAGCTATTTACATAGCATTTACATTGTATTAGGTATTATAAGTCATCTAGAGAGGATTTAAAGTATCCAGGAGGATGTGCCTAAGTTATATGCAGATACTATGCCATTTCATACAAGGGACTTGAGCATCCATGGATTTTGGTATCTGTGGGAGGTCCTGGAACCAATCCATTGAAGAAATTGAGGGTGTGTGTATATGATTATATTTAAAAGAAGGAAGCACAGCAAGAAGCAAATAATTTCTGAAATGAATTTCTCATAAAAGGTTATGAAAAGAGGCACAAAGCAATGGAAAAAACAACACACCCAACAACTTATTGAAATGTTTCTATGATTATAAAAGTTACACATGCATGCATACACACACAATGAAAATTTGGAAAATGAAGAAAAATATGAAGCTAAAAACAAAAATCATTCATTGTTCTGTAATTTAGATATAATCATGCTAATATTTTGGAAAATGTCCTTCCAGAGATATAGATACAGCTATGGATACAGATACAGATATAAATATAAATATATAGTACAACTAGTTATTTTCCTACTGCCAGACATTTAGGTTACTTCCAATGTTTTGCAATTTAAAAAATCCTACAACAAATGTTTTTGTACCTAAATCTGTGACTAATTTAATAGCTATTTCCTTGATATATTCTTGCACTTAGACTGGGTGAAATAAAGGAAACATTCTTTTTTTTTGAGATGGAGTTTCACTATATTGCCCCAGTCTGGAGTGCAGTGGTGCGATCTCGGCTCACTGCAACCTCCACCTCCCAGGTTCAAGCGATTCTCCTGCCTCAGCCTCCCAAGTAGCTGGGACTACAGGCACCCACCACCTCGCCCGGCTAATTTTTGTATTTTTGGTAGAGACGGGCTTTTGCCATCTTGGCCAGGCTGGTCTCAAATGCCTGACCTCGTGATCCGTCTGCCTTGGCCTCCCAAAGTGCTGGGATTACAGGCGTAAACCACTGCGCCTGGCCAAAGGAAACATTCTTAAGGCTTCTGGTACATATTTCCAAATTACCTTAGACAAAATGACAAATAAAGACCTAGACTTTAAAAAATACACAAAAATAAACAATTAAATGAATATAAGAATCATGCATTTTTCCTACTCTGAGTACAGTCATCTCTCAGTATTCAAAGGGGGATTGGTTCCAGGATCTTCTGTGGATACCCAAATCCATAGATACTCAAGTCCCTCATATATAAAATGATGTAGTATTTGCATATTACCTATGCACATCCTCCTGTGTACTTTAAATCATCTTTAGATTACTTATAATACCTAATTTGGTGCCTATGCCTTATATCATTTCTGTGAATTCAACATAGTACCCAGCATGTAGCAAATTCAAGTTTTGCTTATTAGAACTCTGTTAATTTATTTCCCCCCATTTTTTTTTGATCCACATTTGGTTGAATCCACAGATGTAGAACCCAGGCATGCAGAGTGCTGGCTGTACACTGATCTTGTCCTTTTTCTTTTCTTTTTCTTATTGTTAAGAAATTCAAGTGCCAATATTGAAGCTTAAGCACAGGATCTATACTGAGTCTAATTTGGGCACATTTATATTCTCCTTTTCTTAAGACCTAGTTTTCTATTTGTGTTTTTCCAAATAGAATGTATTTGTTGTAAGCCTTCTCAAACTCCTTGGTAAGGAAACGTAAAGATACAAATGATGGTAGAACCTTGCTATTTCCATCCACAAGTGCACTTGAATGAAACCTGTGGTCTAGCAGGGATAAGTAACCTCAACTACCTAAGTTCAGCCGAGCCTTTCCAGAAAAGAACATGAAGCAACAATGATTACGGGTAGCATTATATTATTCTCAACCTGCACTAAATTGTCACTGTCTTCATCAAAGAGTCTTCCTCCCTTTCAAATCTCCCCCACTCCTTTCTTTTTGGGGCTGATGCAGAACTGAATTCCTAGATAAATCTAGCAGATTCTGTCTCAATCCTCACAGTGTTGCCCAAACACGATCTCTTAAATTTAGACAACAATGATTATATTTTATAGAATAAATTTTCTGGAATTTTTATGCCCAGGTTGCTGATTTTACTCTGATCTCCTTCTTGGCATTCTTATAGGCCCTATGGATGACACGTCTACACAAACACATACCTCACCTCTGCGTACTTCTACCCATCCCCCCAACACACAGCTCAACCCTGTGCAGCCATCGCCACTCCCCATCCCTCATGTAAATGCTTACGTTCACATGGATAAACACTTCCACTCACCTCAGAAATCCTGGTTCCTGAAGATTATTTCTGAGGTAATTGGATTTAAGGGTAAAGCGGCATTTTTTCTTAGAAAAATGAGAACAACTGTGGCAAGGGATAAATTGCCCCTTTCCACTCTGGTTCTGAGGCCCGTTCATAATCTGGAGTTTGGGATCCCCCCACCCCCAATAACCTGAGGCACAGCTATACATTGAAACATTGGCCCACCTTTCAGGAAGGAGTGGGTATGCCAGAACTGAAGGCAGGGATGACATTAACATCTGTATATCCTTGTCTATGCAAAACATCATTATAGGTCTTCCAAGTCCTGTTAGTTGATATGTGTAGTTGAAAAACCTGTTTTTCTCCCCCCACTTCATAATGTTGAATTTTTGAAATAGATTTAGACCACACAGGCAGACCTCCACTGACAAATAGGTTAAGATCCAGCAAGTGACTTCATCTGTTGGTTTGAGTTTTCCCACAGAGCACTGTCTTATGAATGTTTGCCCCCGGCTAGTCAACTCAACTCAAAGTGCCTGAAAGACTGCACACGTACATTAAAAAACAGTATGAAACAATGCTGCGAATGAGTAAAACAGGAAAGGAATACATTTGAATAAGACTATCTATATATAGGGAAAGTTGATTTTTTAAGAAGATTTACTTGGAGAAAAGTGAATAGTTAACTGGAGACACTTATGGAGCTTCTCAAGAGAAGTCTGATTCAAAGGTTATTGACAAGGTTCTTTTATTCCTTCTGATCTATTTTCATTTTGAATATTTAAAGCAACTGAGTCTTTTGTGATGTCCAGTTTCACTTCAAAATATACCTTGCATTTTCCTTGATCCAGAAGGATTACTATCCCTACACGTATGCTTGCCGAGTATGTTTAACATTTGTGTTATTAGTAGTTATGAGTAGTATTAGTAGTATTTGGATTACCAATAAACCCAAAAAAGAGAAATGATGAGGAAGTTGGATTTCTAAAGTTAACTTACCAAAATATAGTAGATAAAGACAAAGAAGAAACATTGAAATGGCTCTGGTGAGTTCTGAAAAAGACTTCATAGGAGGTAGGGGGCTAAGTAGATTTTGAGAGGAGAAAGGAGCAGAGGAAGACAGGGTTTGTCCGTGATTCCTCTCAGGGGCATAAAGCAGGTGGAGAAATGGCCTTAGATGCTCAGTTCTAGCTGCCATGTGTGCAACTGATGACACACACCACAGTGATGGGATTCACCAAGCCCAGGAGCCCGAAAATGAAACCAACTTTACTTTTCTAATATTGAACCTAAGATGACCTATTTTGACTAATGTCAGATAAACTTTTTTCCAGATGTTTTCAAATGTTCTCTGCCCACTCCAGTGATTTTTTTTAGTCATATTCAAGTATTAATATTTCTACTTTGGTTTGTTTCACAAATGCTATTTAGGTATTCTCTTTCCATTCTTTCTCCTACCCCACTGTCCCCTGCACGCACTGCCGGATGGAAGGACTTTGTTTTTTGTGATGGACCTTGAATGTGAGAGGGAATGAGTCTTTTGTGTGTGTGTGTGTGTGTGTGTGTGTGTGTGTGTGTTTCACATGTGGGATGGCCTGGAGGGTATACTTTTTTCTAGTCTTATGTGTTTTTTAGCATGGGTGATGTGGGAGAGATTGCTAGTTGTTTATCAATATCAGTGTCTTTTACACAAATAGAACTTCTGATTTTTAGTTGGACACATGTTCCCTTTGAATAAAGATAACAATTGCAGCCAGCTGTGGCAGAAGAAAAGTGTACACCTTCCAGGTGGTATCCTTCTTTTTTCATTTTCTTGAGTTAGAATTCAGACATGCCAATGAGCCATCTTGGACATGCAGGTGTAAACAAGCACTCTAGGAATGGTGGTTCTGAGATAGAAGGCCTCCTGGACAGCCTCATAGGACAGAACTACCATATCAGCCCTGGACTGCCTTTCCAGGGTGTTTTGTGTGAGATAAATAAATTTAGATTTGCTTAAGCCATTGTAAATTCGGGTCTTCGTTACAGTAGCTGAACTTACATCCTAACTAGCAAGTGGTGGAAGGAGAGGAGGCTAATCAATGTAACGGGATGTTACACATACAAGAAACTTGCTCAATAGGTGCCAAGAAAAGGTGGTGAATAGTGGATAGATGTGGACTACAAGGAGGTTCCCAGAAGCAGCAGTATTGTCTCTGTTAATGCTACAGAGGTAACCAAGCCTTTAAGGAACATATTAGAAGTATAGTATTCCCATGTAATGCAATACCCAGAAATGCATTGTGGAGAAAAAACAATTCTTTATCACTGAAACTCAATAAACAACTTAAGGTATTCCCTAGAAGAAATGATTAAAACTCCATCCCAGTACTGTTTGGCTGACCTTAAGATCAACTTGATGTTTAGCATCCCATATTTATAGAGTTTAGATTTTAAAGAGGAAGGATTAATGAACATGTTTACTGACTGATTAAAAGAATACATCATAAAGCAGAGAATATTCTTCAGTTGCGGCAAGACAGCAATGTGTCTGTACTTTGCAAGTTCATAGACAGGTTTCAAGGCAAAAAAGCTGGAATCTTTTGGCTACACAAGCAATAAACACCAAAGATACTCATCCAGCTAGATTTCCTACCTCCCAGAGTTCATGGAAATTACCAAGTGTCATTCAATAAGTGTAGGAGATATGGGGAAACAGAGATTATCAGAATTTCATCACGTCCTTGGGCTCAACAGTAATTCTTAGTCCTTCTGAGCACATTTAGATCATGGGTACATTCTAGAAAGTTACATTCGTCAAAGGTGAAATACATCCTTTGCCTAGAGTGAATGTATTATTTAATCAGCTGAAATCATTAAAGCCACCTACATCATGACTGATGTGAGGATTTTGTCCAATGCCCTGGGATGGATTGGGGATGTGCCCAGCACCCTCCCACTCAGTATGCATCTGGAAGCTCTCCCTTTCTTCCAGCCCAGAGAGAGTCTGTGTCTGGGGAGGGGTGGGGAGTGTGTGTTGTCTGGGAAGCACCGGGATGCATATCAATCACACTGTTTGGCGGGTAGCACAGACACACTGCCCCTTTATCCAATCACTATGCAGGCCGTCCCTGGGCCAGAAAGGAGAACTCTTTACGATACAGATGGTGCTATTAGTTTCAATAAGAATGTTTGTGAAGTGCTTAACAGTTTACAGAGTCCTCTAGGTTATTTGTTTTTATTTTGCCAGGAACAACATTTAGATGGCGGATTTTGATCCTGGTGTTTGCACTTTCCAGCCACATCCTTCTAACTGACTAATCAACAAAGATGTGTGGAACTTGTCTCCTGGATCTATGATAAAAATGGGCCTAGAAATGTCCCAAGCTGGGAACTCACTGGTTTTTTACTGGTGATGGCTTCTGATGCTACCACCATCCAGAACACCAGGGACCTCTCTTGATCCCACAGATATCTTTTCATGACCATTTCTCTGGACACATTTCCTCCCTACCCAGCTGGTTGTTTAAATTGATCTTTTCATGTTAACATGTTCAAATTTTAGAGAATACACCCACTATAGGCAGGTCTGTTCATCTTTTTTTTTTTTCTTGTTGTTCATTTTATTTAGCTTTAGCTTAGCCCACTTATCAGACACCTGTGTGTTGTTAAAACAGTTAACTTCTCAGTTGTACCTTCACATTTACATAACTTCACCAACCTTTTGGTCATGGAGGAAGCAAAGTCCTTTTTATCCATTGTGACTAGGTCTCTCACTTAGGACCAGGACAAGCTGTACCTCCAGCAGCCTCTCAAGTCCCTTCAACCTTCCTTTGTAGAAAACAATTCAGGCTTCCAATAGGCACTCTGAACTACTGCTTTTTCTCTGCTACTTAAAAGAATTTTGTAGCCCATCTACCTTGACCAATCCTTCATTTTTTATGGTGTCACTAGTTTGTAACAGTGTCTCCTTTACTCAGGATGCGTGCCTCTCATTGAGTCCACAAATCACCCCCCTACAAGTCTCTTATCAGTACATCTGCCCATTCATGCATATGAGTAAGCTGTTAATCAGCTTTTGTTTAATATTACTATGAACATTTCAACTTCAAGTTAATATTGTAACTAGGTCTCTCCCTTAGGACCAGGACAGGCTGTACCTCCAGCAGCCCCTCAAGTCCCTTTGACCTTACTTTGTAGAAAACAATTCAGTCTTCCAATGAGCACTCAGAGCTACTGCTTTTTCTCTGTTACTTAAAAGAATTTTGTAGCCCACTTACCTTGACCAATCCCTCATTACTTCTCTGCATGGAAACTGATAAAAATTTATGTCTACTTCAGAGCCTGGCATCATCCCTGGCATTTTTTTTTTTCTTCTACCTTCCACATATGTCCCTGTCCCACTTACCAGCCAGAGAGGAGACGACAACAATGCTTCCATTGCTCTGCTTCAGCATGGGCAAGGCAGCTACAGTCAGGACCACGTAACTGAGGAAGTTGACTTCCATGCTTTTGCGCACATGGTGAATATCATCATGAAAAAGATTCAAAGAAGTGTTGGTGATGTGGTTGAGAATGAGCATGTCTAGTCCTCCTGCAAGAGATGGCTATATTAAGAAATCATCTGGGGTTGATACCTTTCCCATTCTCCTCCCAAAAGCTCTTGGTGACCCCAAGGGCAAAGTTCAGAGGAGGAGGTAAGAGAAACAGCCTCACCCATGAGCTTTCCTGCTTGGGCAACAAATTGCTCTGCGAAGGTCATGTCTTCCATGGTGCCAGCAATGTAGTGTGCTGAGGCTGCTCCAAGCTCCAGGCAGTGGGATACCACCTGCAGTGATACAGCAGAAATGGCATCAGTCTTAGCTGCAGATTTTTGGGGGGTAGTCTCTGAAGTAACGGGGGGCTTAAATGAGAGATTGCTCACAGCCCTGTTTAGGTAAGAAATGGTAAGTATGTTTGTGTGTGTGTTGCCTAATATAACCCTCATGATCATCGTCCTCTGTCTGAAATATTTTCTGGAACTTGGTGGGGTTCAAATGGATAAATCATCCCAGTGCTGGGGTTTAAGTTCATGATTTATGCTCATGGCTTCTGTGAATAGGCATTTCTGAGGGCATTATGAGTGTAGATGCTGGTTACTATGTGGGTAGCTCTAGGTTTGTGAATGTTTGTACATCCTTGGGTTTGTGAGTCCATGAGAGGGCATGTGTCTGGGAGTCTGCATGGGTATGAGGATATGTATTCATAAGCAGGTACTGGGATTTCAGTTTTTGAAAACATCCGTATGTATCTGTAGTTCCATGTGTAAATGTGTGTGACTAGGCATGTCTGTGAGCATATATAACTCAAGGACTCTGTTGCAGAATATATTACACACACACACATGAATGAATGCTTAAATGCATACTTTTATATTCCTGTGGGTTTTTTGGTGTTTGAATCTATATATGAGAGTGCAAAATTAAGTGTCTGTGTGTGTGCATGTGCCTCTGTATATAGATCTGCGATATGCTAGCTTCTGTGTATATGTGAGCATATATAAGAACACATCTGAGCATGTGACGGTACACATATCTGCGAGCATAGAACCCTCACCTTCTGTAGAGTTTCTTTTGACCTCGCTGTCACCACCACATGGGCTCCCATCTTCGCCAGATGATAAGCCATCTCTCTTCCGATCCCTTTGCTGGCCCCTGTGACAATCACTTTCTTTCCTTGGAGCATCTCTGGGGAACCCCAAAAGGAAGTGAGGACCATACCCAAGTTGGCAGCAAAATTCCTTCTCCCTCTCTGGATATAGGCATGCTTATCGCAATTTGTAACTTAAAGGTTATGAGCCCAGATCAGTTTGTCACAAACTCCGTAAATCACTGTGGGAACAGGCCAGGTCTTTCATAAACATGCTCTGAAGTGGGAGGTTTGGGCTGACAGCCTCCCTACTGTCATTTCTAAAAACCTCCATGGAAAGAGATCATAGGATGAAGCCAGAAAAGTCATGGTTCAGCTAAAATGCTGGAGTTCCAGACATTTCTGGACTCTTTCAATTTTGCTCAATTGAAAGTACATTTAACAAGGAATCAAAACACATGTGTTCATAGAAATTCCAGGGATTTTCCCTCACTTCTATGTAGTCATCATCTCCAGTTTTTTTTTTTTTTTTTTTTGCCTCCCACTTATCAGTCTCTTCATAGAGCCCAATTAGCTGCTGAGTTGTGAATTTGGGTATTACTCTCATTTTTGTAGAAGATTTGAAACTGCTTTCCATTAAGGGTGCCAAATAAAGCATGGCCTATTTGGCTAGATTTTGGCTACACGATTACCCTTCCTACACAGTCCCCCCTGTCCACAGCCTGTAGCTGGAGGACACAAAAATACCATCTTAACTCAGGGTTCCCTCATTTTCACCAACTTTGAGGATCAAGAACACATCTTGGTCCTCAGGAACACTCAAGCACCCCTGTGTTTTTTAAACCTATTCCTCCAAAATGAGACGCATGGGTACTTACCTGGTCTGAATTCCTCGTTTGCAGAATAGTAGTAGTAGGCCATGAAGAGCCCCAGAATGGGGAGGAGATATTTTTTCATAAAAGCCATCCGACAGGGAGCTGGCCTGAAGACTCCTGTAGGACACACAGAGAGAACCTACAGAGCTTTCTACAACCTCCTAAGCAGGCAGCAGCCTCTGAATTGTGACATCAGGGACGGGGGAGGCTGGAGTAGTCTCAGGCAGTGCTAGCCAATTTCCCTGTCAGAGCAGCGATTGGCTTTGGGTGGGATCCCATTCGTCCCTGGCAGCCTGTGTGGTGGATTTCATAATGGACAATGTTTACTCCATTTCATTGAGCAAGAGGAGACTTCCAGATGGCCAAGCTCATGACTGTACAGGACTGGATTCCTGAGCATCCCTACCCGAGTCCATCTTACTCTTAACACCATTTACGCCAGGGATCAATGATCTTTCAAAAGTAATTTGTCAAAGACAGAGAGAGAGGAGTGCATGTAGGGCTTCTGGGGGGAAATGTGAGTAATAGCAAAGAGAGCCAAACTCAAGCCAAATCTCACTCTCAGTCCCCCTACCCCCCCACCCAGTGGGAAGCAATTAAAAATAACAGCACAAAACAGCAAAATAAGCTTAAGAAAAAAAATGTGCACATTTTGGGAAAAAATAATGAAAGCAAAGAAGCTCTATAAGCCCCACACTCAAGTTCAATGAAAAAGTATTACAACATCAAAGGAGAAATTGCAAGCCAGCCAGAACCCAGATGGCGGGAAATCCAAGACTGGTTCAAGACTCTAAGGCAAGTGCAATGGATCATACACTTATTATTTTAACAGAGAACAAAGAAGAAATAATGAGTGACAAAAAAGGCACTAAACTATTAAACTGGGTCTTGTAAATGCTGTAGAGCAACAAGAAACATGGAGAAGATGCTAGGAAGAGGCGACCTGATGTAGAAGAAAAAAGAACTAGCATTAGGCAAGTGAAACTAGCTGGGGACGCCCACACCAGCTAAAAATAGATCTAGTAACAGTAAAAGGACGAGGGTGGTAAGAAACCCTTAGCAATTTAGAATTTATTATCAGGGAAATATAAAAATAACCACCTCAGTATGTCCGTAGCACGAATTCATTAAGGAATAATCCTCAAAGAAAGAATTTAAGATGTATCATTGTTAAGTTTTTCAACTCAAAACCAACCAATCAACTCATGGAAATTACCCCATCACAATGCAGTCCTGCATTCTGTAAGTTATCAGTAGAGCGGGGAAAAAATTTAAATGTGATAATAAGTATCAGTGCTTTGGAGGAGGGATAGGAGTTGGGAGTAGTGGGGGGACAGAATTTACACAAGGTTAAGGGAAATTAAGTTATGATTCCAAGTGCAGTATCTGGAAACATTCATCAAATTTTCACTTTAGAGTAAGAGAAAATAATTTAAGACCCAGAGGAGATGAAACAATTTGTCAACAAAGGCCCACAGCTGTGAGGGTCACTTGTAGAAAACAATGGAGATTTGAGAACAGTTGAGGGCTAGACAGAGCTCGAGGTCTATGAAGGACAAAAAGAGAAAAAAGATAAAATTCAAGTAAAAATTAGATTACATGCCTTTAGAACTGCAAGCTACATTTGTATAATTTTATAAATATATTTATGATACCAGGATATATTACAGACTACACTCCATTTTCATCCCTAGAGGGAAGGCAGTGCCAGCCAGAACCCAGATAAGGTTTATTTTCTTAATCCTATACTATTAATAGTAAAATTATAGGAAACAATGAAAAGTTATTTGGAAATATGATGATGTTGAAATGATAGAAAGATGGGCAGACTAGGGATGTTTATTGTCTGACATAAAAAATAAATAAAGAATTTTAAAGTCCATTAAGAAAACATAAATTTAAAGAAAGCAAAAATAACAATGAGTAAGATAAACTGCAGAGTAATAGAACACAAAGCAAATGCATTAACAATTGCTGATTGTTGGCTCCATTAAAAAATGAAGTCCAACATTGTGTGGCCTCAAAAGACACATTTAAACCCAAAGACACAAACAGATTAATAATTAGATGACCTAATAGCTACGATGCTAGAAAATAAGGATATGGCAAAAGCATCCAATAAAGTGAGTTTCATGGGATTAGATAAAATAATTGCTATATAAAATGCATTGATGAGAAACAAGGACACTGTGTAATGGTAGTTGATGCATTAAATCTTACCAGTTCTCAAATTTTTGGTCTCAGGACCCTTGTATACTCTTAATAATTTCCAAGGACCTCAAAGAACTTTTGCCTGTGTAGGTTTTACCTATTGATATTGCTATTGCAATTTATGCATTAGAAATTAAGACTGAGGATTTTTTTCTAAAGCTCAAGAATACATAAGCATACATTCCATTAGCATTCAGGGCAGTGGCATTAGCATACATCCTGTAGCCTCTGGAAAAGTCAGGTAATGTCTTAGTATAATTATGAAAATAGTTTTGACCTTTCAACCCTTCAAGAGGGTCTCAGAGACCCATGGGGACCACACTTTGACCATATTATATAATAAACATCTAATCCACTTTGTGTCCATATTTACATGGCTGGTTCTCTCATTAGCTTGTAAACTCCTGGAGGACATAGATTATGTCTTTTTCATCTTTGTCTCTTTCCATTTCCCACTAGCCTTGCTCCAAAATAGGCATTCAATAAACTTGCTGTTTTAGTGTTTTTGAGATACTGCAGCAATGAGAAAATTGCTGTCTTCCTGGAGCCTGGTTTAATCTGGGGAAATCACTGGGATTCAGCATTCTGGTCAGAACAGATCAATCCCATCCCCCAAATCTTCTTTCTGGGGTTGTCAACAAAGTTTTAAAAAATAATAAAGACAAAATGAAATACAACTGTTTCAGCTAGCATTTGTTTCAAGTCAAGTATTCCCTGATTGAATTAAAGTTCCATAGAAAAACAGTGAACAGTTCACTCCACTCCTTGCACCCTCCTTTGTAATACACTGACCATTCCCATTCCAGAGCAGGCTTTCAGCAGATACCTGGAGCCTACCTGCACAGAATGGGCTTTTCACTGCTGGAGGTGAGTATTAGAGCCCAGCCAGGAATTCTCTCTGATTTGATCATTCTCACCAGAATAAATGGAATCAAGCACAAGCAACAGAGTGAGAAGAACATAGGGGCTGAATGAACAAGAATGGGACTGTGAAGGATGGGCCAGATCTGGGGAGACTGATAGGAGATGGCAAAAATGTGAGGAGGGGCAGCCAGAGGGGAAGTTCCTTGCATTTGGCATAAAACGTTGATCATGAAAGAAACACCTGTCATTTAGAAGGTGGCAGCTGTAGTGCTTTTCATGACTATTTAGTAGATTTGTTAAGCAAGTGCTCCCATTTGAAAATGAAATCTTGTTGGGCAAACCTCAGAGTAAAAAGTAGGTAAACACTGTGTTCAGAGGTTCTGCCTTTCCTGGGAGAATAACACTGCAACGTTGAAACAGGAGAGGATCTTTGCATTACATGAGAATTGATAGGGTCTGGCTGTGTCCCCACCCAAATCTCAACTTGAATTATATCTCCCACAATTTCCACATGTTGTGAGAGGGACCCAGGGGGAGGTAATTGAATCATGGAGGCTGGTCTTTCCTGTGCTATTCTCTTGATAGTGAATAAGTCTCACGAGATCTGATGGGTTTATCAGGGGTTTCCACTTTTGCTTCTTCCTCATTTTTCTCTTGCTACTGCCATGTAAGAAGTGCCTTTCACCTCCCGCCATGATTCTGAGGCCTCCCCAGCCATGTGGAACTGTAAGTCCAATTAAACCTCTCTTTGATCCTGGTTTCGGGTATGTCTTTATCAGCAGTGTTAAAATGAACTAATACGGTAAATTGGTACGAGTAGAGTGGGCTGTTGCTGAAAAGATACCTGAAAATGTGGAAGTGACTTTGGAACTGGGTAACAGGCAGAGGTTGGAACAGTTTGGAGGGCTCAGAAGAAGACAGGAAAATGTGGGAAAGTTTAGAACCTCCTAGAGGCTTGTTGAATAGCTTTGACAAAAATGCTGATAGTGATATGAACAATAAGGTCCAGACTGAGGTAATCTCAGATAGAGATGAGGAACTTGTTGGGAACTGGAGCAGAGGTAACTGTTGTTATGTGTTAGCAAAGAGACTGTTGGCATTTGCCCCTGCCCTAGAGATTTGTGGAACTTTGAACTTGAGAGAGGTTTTTTAGGGTATCTGGCAGAAGAAATTTCTAAGCAGCAAAGCATTCAAGAGGTGACTTGGGTTCTGTTAAAAGCATTCCATGTTAAAAGGGAAAACTAGCATAAAAGTTCAGAAAATTTGCAGCCTGATGATGTAAAAAAGAAAAACACATTTTTTGAGGAGAAATTCAAGCCAGCTGCTGAAATTTGCATACGTAGCAAGGAGCCAAATGTTAATCCCCAAAACCATGAGGAAAATGTCTCCAGGCCATGTCAGAGACCTTCATGGCAGCCCCTCCCATCACAGGCCTGGAGCCTAGGAGGAAAAAGTGGTTTCATGGGTGGGCCCAGGGTCCCTGTGCTATGCGCAGGCTAGGGACTTGGTGCCCTGTGTCCCAGCTGAAAGGAGCCTGAAAGGAGCTAGCCTAGAGCTCAGGCTTTAGCTTCAGAGGGTGGAAGCCCCAAGCCTTGGAAGCTTCCGCGTGGTGTTGAGCCTTCCACATGGTGCACAGAAATCAAGAATTGAAGTTTGGGAACCTCTGCCTAGATTTCAGAAGATGTATGGAAATGCCTGGATGCCCAAGCAAAAGTTTTCTGCAGGGCAGGGCCCTCATGGAGAACCTCTGCTAGGGCAGTGTGGAAGGGAAATGTCGGGTTGGAGACCCAACACAGAGTCCCTACTGGGGCACTGCCTAGTGGAGCTGTGAGAGGAAGGCCAATGTCCTCCAGACCCCAGAATGGTAGATCCACTGGCAGTTTGTGCCATCTGCTTGGAAAGCCGCAGACACTCAATACCAGCCCATGAAAGCAGCCAGGATGGAGGCTGTACCCTGCAAAGCCACAGGGGCAGATCTGCCCAAGACCATGGGAACCCACCTTTTGCATCAGTGTAACCTGGATTCAAAGGAGATCATTTTGGAGCTTTAAAGTTTGACTGCCCCTTTGGATTTTAGACTTGCATGGGCCCTGTAACCCCTTTGTTTTGGCCAATTTCTCCCATTTGGAATGGCTGTATTTACCCAATACCTGTACCCCTATTGTATCTAAGAAGTAACTAGCTTGCTTTTGATTTTACAGGCTGATAGGCGGAAGGGAC